>NC_000007.14:149003834-149155349 GCF_000001405.40 Homo sapiens | reverse complement strand
CTCCCGGGTTCAAGCGATTCTCCTGCCTCAGCTTCCCAAGTAGCTGGGATTAAAGGCGCCCACCACCAAGCCCAGCTAATTTTTGTATGTTTAATAGAGATGGGGTTTCGCCTTGTTGGCCAGGCCAGTCTTGAACTCCTGAACTTGTGATCTGCCTTTCTCGGCCTCCCAAAGTGCTGGGTTTACAGGTGTGAGCCACCACACCTGGCCAATTTTTGTATTTTAAGTAGAGACGGGGTTTCACCATGTTGGCCAGGCTGGTCTTGAACTCCTGACCTCAGGAGATCCACCTGCCTCAGCCTCCCAAAATGCTGGGATTACAGGTGTGAGTCATCTCGCCAGGCCTTTTTTTTTTTTTTTTAGAAGGAGTTTTGCTCTTGTTGCCCAGCCTGGCATGCAGTGGCATGATCTCGACTCACTGCAACCTCCAACTCCTGGGTTCAAGCTATTCTCCAGCCTCAGCCTCCCGAGTGGCTAGGATTATAGGCATGTGCTACCACACCCGGCTAATTTTTGTATTTTTAGTAGAGACAGGGTTTCCTCACGTTGGCCAGGATGGTCTCAAACTCCTGACCTCAGGTATCTGCCCATCTCAGCCTCCCAAAGTGCTGGGATGAGCCACCGCGCCCAGCCTCAAATTGACTGATTTAAAAGAATATTTATGTAGTCTCCTCCCCAAGAATCTGGCACACAAGTTAACGAAGAAAGAAGCGGCTCATGGGTAATGGGTAGGAGAAACCAAAAGAGAAAAAAAATCCATCTACCAGATAGCCAACTTTGGTCCAGCAAGAGGTTTCCAATCTGAATCTTGGCACTCTAAATGGGTACTAAATTGAACATAAAATGTTTCCCAAATAGACAAACATAAAACACCTTCATGATTCTTTCAGACTGAGATATTTTAAGAAACTTTAAAAGGAAATAAAAAATCTAAGTAACTGAATGACCAAGACTACTACTAATGTAAGTTCTAGTGGTACCACTTTACATCTAGAAATGAAGGTATTACCTTTGGGATATCTCCCTTAATACCTGGAGGGAGCCGCAGGATCCAGAAGTTCCTGTTGCGCAGCAGGTTCTCCAAGTTCTCCAGCCGCCTCTGCAGCAGCCCGTACTCCTGCAGCAGGGTTCCCAGCACGGCCCACTTGCCCTCCAGCTGGTTCCCAAGCTCGGTAACTGTCTTTTCACAGCTGGCTAGTTTCTTCTCTGCTGTCCCTGTCCGACCTTCCAGGTGTAGGAGTCGCCGGCTGTGGATCTCCACCTTCCTCTCTATAGCCTGCACGGCGGCCACCACTGTCCACAGAGAGATAGCTGCTGTCTGCAGGTGTGCCTCATTTGCTGCTGGGGGTGTAGGAAGAGGAAGGGGCTGCAGGGATGTAAGGCACTCGGAGTCCCATTCAGATGTCTGCATGCAGTGGAAAGATGGAACAAGACATTGAGTGTTAGAAGGAACCCTAACTCCAAACTAAAATCAGATAAGGACTGCTTAACTGTCCAGCAGAGATTAATTTGAATATAGTTCTAGTACTGCCTGCGTATGCCTCATCTTTCTGGAGCTCACTGGCATCAACAGCCAAGAGACCTGATTTGGTGGTTCTGGGATAGATTGGGTAAGACAGTGAATTAATGAAATTGGCTCTTGAACTAGTCTGGTATATTTCCTCCGCTATAAGGCCCAGCTTAGGTTGCTGCAGCATCCTCTATCTCTGGAAAAGGCAAATGTGCACAAGGATCCTTTCCAGGCCTCACTGAACCTAGTGCCCTCTGATAAATCCATTATAGACTTATGCTCTAGACCTGTCAATCACCCTGTTTACAAACTACAACCACACCATTCAGTAATGGCTGAATAAGCTAAGAATCTTGAATCTGAAGAAAACATGAGAGCTGTTTTCAGATAATGAGGGTTACAAAACAGAAGGCAGAACAGCCTTGTTTCATCTTACACTATGTTACTCCAGAGGGCAGAACTAGAACCAACATAACGAAATTTTCAGACAGGCAAACTTTGGCCTACAATAAATACATTTTTTTCTTTTTAGAGACGGGGTCTTGGTGTCTCATTATGTTGCCTAGGCTGGCTCACTCAAGCAATCCTCCTGCCTCAACCTCCTAAGTAGCTGGGGCTACAGGTGTGTGCCATTGTGACCCACTAATAAATAATTGTTGAACTATTCAAAAAAAGAAATTCTTGCCGGTGCGGTGGCTCATGCCTGTAATCCCAGCACTTTGGGAGGCCGAGGTGGGCAGATCACCTGAGCTTGGGAGTGCGAGTCCAGCCTGGCCAACATGGTGAAATCCCGTCTCTACTAAAAGTACAAAAATTAGCCGGGTGATGGTGCACATCTGTAACACCAGCTACTCGGGAGGCTGAGACAGGAGAATCAGCTTGAACCTGAGAAGTGGAGGTTACAGTGAGCCAAGATTATGCCACTGCACTGCAGCATGGGCAACAGAGGGAGACTGTGTCTCAAAAAAAAAAAAAAAAAGAGGCTGGGCACGGTGGGTGGCTCACACCTGTAATCCCAGTACTTTGAGAGGCCGATCACCTGAGGTCGGGAGTTCGAGACCTGCCTGACCAACGTGGAGAAATCCCATCTCTACTAAAGATACAAAATTAGCCGGCCATCGTGGCAGATGCCTGTAATCTCAGCTACTCAGAGGCTGAGGCAGGACAATCGCTTGAACCCAGGAGACCGAGGTTTCAGTGAGCCGAGATCGCATCATTGCATTCCAGCCTGGGCAATAAGAGCAAAACTCCGTCTCAGAAAAAAAAAAAAAAAGAAATCTAGGCCAGGCGCGGTGGCTCACGCCTGCAATCCTAACACTTTGGGAGGCCGAGGGGGTGGATCACGAGGTCAGGAGATCGAGACCATCCTGGCTAACACGGTGAAACCCTGTCTCTACTAAAAATAGAAAAAATTAGCCAGGCGTGGTGGCGGGCGCCTGTAGTCTCAGCTACTTCGGAGGCTGAGGCAGCAGAATGGCGTGAACCCAGGAGGCGGAGCTTACAGCAACCCAACTTCGCGCCACTGCACTCCAGCCTGGGTGACAGAGTGAAACTCCGTCTCAAAAAAAAAAAAAAAGAAATCTTTAAGGGAAATCACATTATTAATTAATTAATTATTTATTTCTTGAGACAGAGTCTCGCTCTGTCGCCCAGGCTGGAGTACAGTGGTGCCATCTCAGCTTACTGCAACCTCCGCTGCCTGGGTTCAAGCGATTCTCCTGCCTCAGTCTCCCGAGTAGCTGGGACTACAGGAGCGTGCCACCATGCTCAGCTAATTTTTTGTATTTTTAGTAGAGATGGGGTTTCACCATGTTAGCCTGACCTCGTGATCCGCCCTCCTCGGCCTCCCAAAGTGTTGGCATTACGGGCGTGAGCCACCGTGCCCGGCCACATTATTTTATATATGATTTTAAAGTCTAAGATGGATAGTTTAAATGTTATCCACTTATTGCTTGAACCCAGGAGGCAGAGGTTACAGTGAGCCAAGATTCTGCTACTGTACTCCAGCCTACGCGACAGAACGAGATTCAGTCTCAAAAAAAAAAAAAGAAAAAAAAAGAAAGAAATTTTTGTTGAATGAATGAATAAATAAATAGGCTTGCATGCAAACCAGCCACCTCAGGATGTCTTCTATAGCTTAATTTTTTTTTTATTTTTTTATTTTTAGAGACAGGGTCACCGAGGCTGGAGTGCACTGACATGACCATAGCTCCTTGTAACCTATAACTCCTGGGTTATTGATCTTTCCAAGAAAATAAAAGGCTGCTCCAAAATAATTTACTTTGAAACAAAGAGTAGTATAAAAGGAAAAAATTCCCACAACAAATAAGTTGGACTAGGATGATGTATACAAAGCCTTCTAACTCTATGAACCTGATAAGCCACTCTCTGACGACAACCTCCCATCTTTCCAACTCACCCACTACTTTATTCTCATTTCACCTAGTCCTTTGACCATTCCATTTGCTCCTGGTATCTGCCCGTTCCTGGCTTTTTTTCTCTAATTGATCACATCAGTCACTTCCAACTCCCCTTCTCTCATGTCTTTCTGCCTCACCTGCTCAGCTAACCTCCGGCCTTGAATCAGTCCAATCATTCTTTCTCCATTCCTGTAAGCAGATTAGTAAGCGTGCCTAGAGGAAATCACCAGGTAAACTGCTGTCACCACATACCAATGGTTTCTAAGCTTAGTGGGGATCTCAACACTGACTTGTGCCCTCCATGCCGCTTGTCCCATTCCATAAAGTGGCTACTACAAAGCCTCAGCACAGTCCTTCAGCTTTTAGTACAGTTTGTCCTCAAACTAACATGAATAAGAATCAGCTGGAGGGGCCAGGCACAGTGGCTCATGCCTGTAATCCCAGCACTTTGCAAGGCTGAGACAGGTGGATCACCTGAGGTCAGGAGTTTGAGACCAGCCTGACCAGCATGGTGAAACCCTATCTCTACTAAAAAATACAAAAATTAGCTGGGTGTGGTGGCAAGCCATGTAATCCCAGCTACTCGGGAGACTGAGGCTAGAGAATCACTTGAACCCAGGAGGCGGAAGTTGCAGTGAGCTGAAATCGTGCCACTGCACTCCAGCATGGTGACAGAGCAAGACTCTGTCTAGGGCAGGAGGGGAGGCGGGGGGGCGCGGGAGGCGGGGAAGAATCACCTGGAGATCTTGTCAAAGTACAGATTTTTATTCAGTAGGTCTGTAAGGAAAACTGAGATTCTGTTGGGTTTTGTTTTTGTTTTTTTGGGATGAGGTCTCACTGTCACCCAGGCTGGAGTGCAGTGGTGTAATCTCAGCTTACCGCAACCTCCATCTCATGGGCTCAAGCGATTCTCCCATCTCAGCCTCCCGAGTAGCCGGGACCACAGGCACACACCACCATGCCCTGCTAATTTTTGTATTTTTGGTAGAGACAGGGTTTCACCATATTGCCTAGGCTGGTCTCAAACTACTCAGCTCAAGTGATCCACCTGCCTCAGCCTCCCAAAGTGCTGGGATTACAGGTGTGAGCCATGGTACACAGCCTGAGATTTTGTATTTTTAACAAATTCCCAGGTGATGCTGACACTGAGTAGTAAGACTTGTCTGCTGCAGCCCCCACTCTCAGAAGATGACATGTCCTCTTGCTTTGAGATGGAAATTAATCAGACCTAAATTCATTCAACTTTCTCTTCATACTCCTTGCTTCAAACTTATCAGTAACCGAATCTAAGTTTTCTTCTTTACTTCCTAAGGAAGTTGCATCCTATTTAAATCTTAACTCTCCACATTTGCTTCACTTATGCCAACCCCTTCCACCTTTTTGGGTAGGTTGTTCCTTTCTTAGTGTCAATCTGTCTCCTGATTCTTCTCCATAGGGTGGACTGGCACTGTTCAATACAGTAGCCACTACCTACATGTGGCCACTGAGCACCTGAAATGTGGTTAAATTGAGATGTGCTATGAGTATAAAATACACGAGACTTTGAAGACTTAGTATGAAAAAAATATTTGTTTGTTTGCTTGAGACAGGGTTTCACTTTGTTGCCCAGGTTGGAGGGCAGTGGCAGGATCACAGCTCACTGCAGCCTCCACCTCCCTGGCTCAAACACCTCCCACCTCCTGAGTAGCTGGGAGTACAAGTGCATGCCACCACGCCTGGCTAATTTAAAAAAAAAAATTTTTTTTGTAGAGATGGGGTCTTCCTATGTTGCCCAGGCTGGTCTTCAACTCCTGGGCTAAAGCTGTCTTCCCACGGCAGCCTCCTGAAGTGCTTGGGATAACAGGCTTGAGCCACCACACCCGGCCATTAATGTTTTAAATCGATTACATGAGGCCGGGCGCGGTGGCTCACGCCTGTAATCCCAGCACTTTGGATCCCAGCGGGCGGATCACGAGGTCAGGAGATTGAGACCATCCCGGCAAACACGGTGAAACCCCCCTCTCTACTAAAAATACAAAAGGACCCGGGCGTAGTGGCACGCGCCTGTAGTCCCAGCTACTCGGGAGGCTGAGGCAGGAGAATCGCTTGAACCGGCAAGGCAGAAGTTGCAGTGAGCCCAGATGGCGCCACTGCACTCCAGCCTGAGGGACAGAGTGAGACTCCACCTCAAAAAATAAATAAATAAATAAATTGATGACATGTTGAAATAATATTTTGCATATATTGAGTTAGATATATAATTAAAATTAATTTCATCTATTTATTTTTTAACTTCTCAAAAATTTTTTTTATTTTAGAGACGCGGTGTGGACTGCCTCGAACTCCTGGACTCAAGTGATTCTTCCGCCTCAGCCCCCGGCCTAGCTGGGACTACAGGCGTGCACAACACAGCGCCTGGCTTTTTACTTTTTAAACGTGACGCCTAGAGAATTTAAGCAGGGGTGTCCAATCTTTTGGCTTCCCTGGGCCACACTGGAAGAACTGTCTTGGGTCACACATAAAATACTGATCATGATAGCTGATGAGCTAAAAAAAAAAAAAAAAAAAAAAAAAAAAGACAAAGAAAAAGGTCCGTGCATAAATCTCATGATGTTCTAGGAAAGTTTACGAATTTGTGTTGGGCCGCATTTAAAGCAGTCCTAGTCCGCATGCGGCCTGGGGGCCGCGGGTTGGACAAGCTTGATTTAGAGTTTTGTATGCGGCTTCCCTTATATTTCTATTAGCCAGGACTGGCACAACACAGGATCATCGCTACCATCCCACCTATACACAAAAAAAAAGGTTGGAAAAAAGAAAAACAGGTCCAAGAGTGGAGGTGGCACTTCCCTCTGCTCTACCCCCTACCCATCGCTGCTCTTCCTCCTTTTCCCAGTCACCCCTCATGTGCCAGGGTGGCTCCTGACCCAGTACAATTGCTCTCCTAGAGGTGACCAAAGACCTCTTGGGTGGCAAATGCGATCAGTGCTTTCCCCGCGGCCTGACCGTCCCCTTCTCATTCTACGGGGCTGCGTGCAGGCGCGGCCCGGTCGCCTCGGTCGCCCTGGCAACTGGCCGCTGCCGGCCCCCGCAGGCCTTGGCAAACACCCGCGAATGAACCGCCACGCACGCGAGGCCACTCCAGCCTCCGGGTCCGCACCATTCATTCGGCAGCTATTTCGGGAGGGCCTCCCGCGTGTCCCGAGTCCGGTGCCGGGAGCCCAGGCGTCACGCAGCGCGGCGGGAATGCGCCTCCGCACACTTAAATGCCGCCCGCGCCACCGCTCAGATTGCTGGTGACGAACGCTCCCGCGGCCGCGAGAATGGCTGACGGCTCCCCAGCCCAACCCCGCTGCGCGTCTGGCGGGCAGGCGTGGGGCTGACACGCAGCAGGCACCCCCTCGACTTCAACCCAACTGCAGGGCCCCGGGTCTCATAGCTGCCTGCGAGTGCCCCTCAGACCTGCGGCCCAGCCTGGTGTCCCCGGGTGGGCGGTTTCACACCCACCCGCTAAGTCCCCTCACGCGAGGCTGCAGCCGCCAAGCACGGGCGACAGGCGACGTGGCCGGCGGGACCCGAGAACGGCGCCTATGCCTGGCAGCTCCCTGCCCGCCCGCCTTCCTCCCTCGGGGTCTGGGTCTCGGGGGCTCACAACACTCGCGCGCGGCCGCCCTTACCGGGGCCGGGGCCGCCTCAGCCATGGCCCTGCGCTGTCTAGCCCGGGCCTCGGAAGTCGCCGCCGCTGCCGCCGCTGCCACCGCGCCCGGCTCCAAGCAGGCCCGGCCGCCGGGTCCTCTCCACAGGCGGCGCCGACCCGGCCCTGCCTTCCCCGCACGGACGGGACTCACGCGGCCGTCGGGGCTCGGGACGCGCAGGAACGCGGCGGAGGCGCGGTGCAGCAGGCGGCGGATCAAGCTGGGGTCGCGAGGCCGACTCCGCCGCACTCCACCCGCAGCGGCCCCTCAGCTGGCGCTTTGTGGGCAGCGAGTGCACCGGGAACCGCGCGGGCCTAGACGCGCCGCAGGCTCGCGCTGCCCAGCCACCGCGGCCAGCGCGCCCCCTGCCGGCCCCTGCGGCCAGCGCCCCCCGCGTCGCCTCCGCCCCTCCCCCCCAGCTCTTGGGCTTCGGTGTGGGGAGGGTTGTTATTTGGGGCCCACGTGTGTTCCGCTTTCTCACATTCCCACGAGAAGGTTCAGCTCACCGCAGTTTAGGACCCAGCCGCAAAGCCGGGCTCATTCTGGGGAGTGATTTTCTTCACGGAGGCTCGATACGCAGGCGCCGTCTGCAGGCAACAGCTTCTGCTGAAGGGCAGCCGTATTTAGAACAGCGGAAATGTGCAGGGTGAGAGTAAGGGGGACACGGCTGAAGGGAGCCTATGGGTGGAATGAGTGACGGAGAGGCACAATTTTGGAATGAAGAAGATATAGATCATTTGCGGAAATTACAAATGTGGTTGCCAAGGTGAGGCGGTTCAGGTCCCACGCGGCCTGTGTTGGGATCAATAATATTTTAAGGTCTCCTTCACATCTCGGATTATTGACTCTCCGGGGCCTGGTCTGGAAATAGGATTCTTAATTTTTGTTTATTTATTTATTTAGAGACGGAGTCTCACTCCGTCGCCCAGGCTGGAGTGCAGTGGCGGGATCTCGGCTCACTGCAACCGCCTTCCGGGTTCAACCGATTCTCCTGCCTTTGCCTCCCAAGTAGCTGGGATTACAGGCATGTACCACCATGCCCAGCTAATTTTTTTTTTTTTAAGTGGAGACGGGGTTTCACCATGTTGGCCAGGCTGGTCTGAAACTCCTGACCTCAAATGATCCACCCGCCTTGGCCTCCCAAAGTGCTAGGATTACAAGCGTGAGCCATTGCGCCCGGCCTTATTTATTGATTTATTTAGAGACAGTCTCCCTCTGTCGTCCAGGCTGGAGTGCAAGTGGCACAAACAAGGCTCACTGCAGCCTTAAACTGCTGGGCTCAAACGATCCTTCCCCTCAGCCTGCCCGAGCATCTTGGACTACAGGCGCAGCTACCAAGCCCGGCTAATGTTTTATTTATTTGTATTTATTTATTTACTTATTTATTTTTCTGTAGAGACAGGGTCTCGCTATGTTGCCCAAGCTGGAGGAAGTGGAATTCCTGAGAGCAGCAGAGATCGAGCTTGGGGTTACGGTTTGCTGCGTCTGAGCAAAAGGACCTGCGAGAACAGGCCGAGCGCAGTGGCTCACGCCTGTAATTCCAGCACTTTGGGAGGCCGAGGCGGGCAGATCACCTGAGTTCCAGACCAGCCTGGCCAACATGGTGAAACCCCGTCTCTACTAAAAAATACAAAAATTAGCCGGGCGTGGTGTCGTGCACCTGATATTCCAGCTGCTCCGGAGGCTGAGGCAAGAGAATCGCTGGAACCCAGGAGGCGGAGGTTGCAGTGAGCAGAGATGGCAGCACTGCACTCCACCCTGGGCGACAGAGCTAGACTCCATCTTAAAAAAAAAAAAAAAAAAAAAGGACCTGCGAGAACAAAGTGTTTTCTGGTGAGGTTGTGTTTTAAGTCAACAGAGTGTGTGTAACAGCAGTAGGTTCCTTGCCCAATGCACATAGCAAGTCTATATGCAGAGACACCAGGTTGCAGCAGAGAAAGAGGTCTAATCATAGGGCCACCTAAGGAGGAGACAGGAAGAAGCCTCACATCCATCTCTGCTAGGAATTTGGGAATTTGGGGTTAGAGTTTGTAAGGGTAATGGAGTTGACTGATTGGTGGGAGAGTGCTGGTGAAATCGTGGTACAAGGAGATGAAGAAACTACATTCTCATGCTCATCCCATTCCTCTGTGGGGGGTCTTCAAACTGGTTGAACTCAACTGTTTCACCGGAACTCGTGGTCTGAAAAACATCTTAAGCGATCCTTAAACAAAAGCCTTATGATTCTAATGTCAGAGATCCTGTCTACAGGAACAACAGGGATGCAAATCAATTCTTAGTCTGATGTCTGAAATCCTATCTATAGGAACAATAGAGATGCAAATGTCAGTATCTAGTGCCTTGTGACTATTAGCAACAAGGAAGTAGGCCGAAGTGCAGCCTGATTAATGCTTAATTATAACTATATTTCTGTCCAGAACCTGCATGCAATTTTTGTGAACCCTGTTGGGGCGGTTTCATGTGTGTGGTGATAGGATAAGCACATGACCCTGGTTTTCCAGGAAGTCTTCATTTCAAACATGTATGAATCAAACCCTGCTAAACCTGTATTTCAACACATGAATCAAGTCAATGCCCATAACAGTATAACTATCTGTAAATCACAAAAGTATGAGAACTATCCTGTTGGGGCAACTGCTCTTGAGCAGACTAAGTTACTTTTCGCCTGTGGCTACATATGCAGTCCGTAATTTGGGATTTACCTGAATATACATATTTGTCAGATGGTGAATGCTTAATAATGAAAATTGCCATTCTCTGACTCACAATATGAGTAGATTACAAAAAAATAATAATCTGAATTTTCTTGGAAAGAAAATTCTGTTGTATAATTTTATTATTTAAAATGTAGTAGCCGAGAAGCCGGGCACGGTGACTCACGCCTATAATCCCAGCACTTTGGGAGGCCGAGGTGGGTGGATCGCCTAAGGTCAGGAGTTGGAGACCAGCCTGAACAACACGGTGAAACCCCATCTCTACTAAAAATAGAAAAACTAGCCGGGCGTGGTCGTGGGTGCCTATAATCCTAGCTACTCAGGAGGCTGAGGTAGGAGAATCACTTGAACCTAGGAGGAGGAGGTTGCAGTGAGCGGAGATTGCACCATTGCACTCCAGCCTGGGAAACAAGAGTGAAACTCCATCTCAAAAAAGAAAAAAAAAAATGTAGTAGCCGAGCACAGTGGGAGGCCGAGGTGGGTAGATTGTTGGAGCCCAAGAATTCAAGGCCAGTCAGGGCAACCTGGTGGGACCCTGTCTCCATAAAAAAATACAAAAATTAGCCTGAAATGGTAATGCACACCTGTCGACCCAGTTACTCGGGAGGCTGAGGTAAGATCACTTGAGCCAGGGAGGTTGAAGCTGCAGTGAGCTGTAATAATACCACTGCACTCCAGCCTGGGCGACAGACTGACATCCCATCTCCAAAAAAAAAGTAGTAAAGTTTTCAAGTTTGATGTTATAAGGCAAGAACAACAATTTCTGTCAGATGCTCCTATGGCCATTTAACAGGGACATTTGTATTACTAAATAAGACTTCCAACTGAGCTCCATAGAAAGCAAGGCTACCTCTCTGCTTTAATATGGTAATATTACCACCAACTTATTAAATGTTCCTTCCTTGAATAGGAATATATTAAGACAAGAAATTCTTCCTATTTAATTCTTGGCCTTAAAAATTCTTTGGATGGTACTGGCATTTCATTAAGCAATTTCACTGACTGAAGCTTTTTGTGTACTGTTTAAAGAAGATGCACAATATTTTCAGA
Source organism: Homo sapiens (assembly GCF_000001405.40). Taxonomy (NCBI): domain Eukaryota; kingdom Metazoa; phylum Chordata; class Mammalia; order Primates; family Hominidae; genus Homo; species Homo sapiens. The sequence goes on along the minus strand of NC_000007.14, from coordinate 149,143,984 downwards.
AGCAGATGTAAGGTTGTTGTACTAACTTATTTTTAATTTATAATATTTTTGTCTGCTCTTGCTGCTATACATAATCACTAGAGAAAAAAATTGTCCTAAAAGTTTGGATCTAGAAATGTGACTATGAAACAATTTAATTGGCTTTTTTGGGGGGTTGTTTGTTTGTTTTTTGAGATGGAGTTTTTACTCTTGTTGCCCAGACTAGAGTGGAATGGCGCAATCTCTGCTCACTGGAACCTCTGCCTCCCGGGTTCAAGTGATTCTCCTGCCTCAGCCTCCCAAGTAGCTGGGATTACAGGCATGCGCCACCATGGGGGCTAATTTTGTATTTTAAGTAGAGACGAGGTATCACCATGTTGGCCAGGCTGGTCTCGAACTACTGACCTCAGGTGATCTGCCCACCTCGGCCTCCCAGAGTGCTGGGATTACAGGCGTGAGCCACCGCACCCTGCCAATTGGTTTTTGAGTTAACAAAATAATCCCAGTTTCCATCTGCATCTTGACTTTCCCTGCATATGCACACCAATTTCAGCATCTTCCTTTGCACAGAATCAAGGACAGATTTTTTTCAGCATGTATGATGTAAAAAATACACTGATGGCACATCAATTTATTCAGCAAGTTCCAACAAACTCTTTTGTCTTCAAGCAACCATTGGTTATTGGTAAATCTTGCTACATTGGTAATATTCTCTGAAAATTACAAAATTAAAGCCTTTATCCGATCAGCTTTAGAAGGACGTAATAATTGCACCACCTTGCTTCAGTATCTTGTAAAACAAGACAGTTTCAAAATCTACAATGTTCCTGCTTGCCGCCAGTAATTTTCTTTTCTTTTCTTTTTTGAGATGGAGTCTCGCTCTGGCCACCGCGCCTGGCCAGTAATTGTCTATTACATCATTAATACATTAAGCTAGATGTGGGAGAATCACCTGAGCCTGGGAGGTTGAGTTTGCAGGGAGCCGAGATCATGCCACTATACTAATCAATCATCGATCAATAAAATAACATACATGAAGCTATACCTGTTTTCTGAATGTAAAACTGAAGATGGGAACAAACTATAGTGTGCTTGTGCTCATAGCCTTTACTGTATTTTTCCATGGGAAATTCGACGTTCGTGCGTTTCCGTTTACTGATTTTACATTCCACAAATTTTTCTCAAAGTCAGATTCACTGAGACCTAGGAATTTTTCATTAAGTAGGGAAAATGGAAACCCAGTTGAATTAATAATTGCTCCTCTGTATGGTCAAACATAAAAAGTTAAGCGTGATTCTTCATATCCAAATATCTGGTTTTTTGTTTGTTTGTTTGTTTTTAGACGGAGTCTCGCTCTGTTGCCCAGGCTGGAGTGCAGTGGCGCGATCTTGGCTCACTGCAAGCTCCGCCTCCAGGCTTCACGCCATTCTCCTGCCTCAGCCTCCCGAGTAGCTGGGACTACAGGTGCCTGCCACCACGCCCGGCTAATTTTTTGTATTTTTAGTAGAGACGGGGTTTCACCGTGTTAGCCAGGATGGTCTCGATCTCCTGACCTCGTGATCCGCCCGCCTCGGCCTCCCAAAGTGCTGGGATTACAGGCGTGAGCCACCACTCCCAGCCCCAAATATCTTATATACCAGATATATACAGTATCTGGTACATATACAGATATATACAGTATATATCTGGTATATAAGACATTTTCAATATTTTATTGCAGCATTTTTAATATTTCATTAACCTTTTGGTGCACAGCAGAAAATGAATCAGGAAAAATATTTTAGGAATGTTTCCTAAAATAAATCAATATTTAGAATAAGATCTTGGGGAAATCTCAACCGAAAATGGTTACCAGTCTATAGCAATTATCTCTACAAGCTCTAAAAACATTAGTCCAGGCACGGTGACTCACCTCTGTAATCTCAACACTTTGGGAGGTCGAGGTGGGAGGATTGCTTGAACCCAGGAGTTTGGAGCTGTAGTAAGCCATGACTGTGCCACTGCATTCCAGCCTGAGTGGCAAAGCGAGACCCTGTCTTAAACAAAAACAGCCTTCATGGATGCCAACCTATGATAACTTGTCTTACTAAAAGCATGCTCTAAAGTCTGTGGATTAGGGCCGGGCGCAGTGGCTCACGCCTGTAATCCCAGCATTTTGAGAGGCTGAGGTGGGTGGATCACCTGATGTCAGGAGTTCAAGACCAGCCTGGCCAACATGGTGAAACCCCATCTCTACAAAAATACAAAAATTAGGCCGGGCACAGTGGCTCATGCCTGTAATCCCAGCACTTTGGGAGGCCGAGGCAGGTGGATCACGAGGTCAAGAGATCCAGACCATCCTGGCTAACACGGTGAAACCCCGTCTCTACTAAAAATACAAAAAATTAGCCAGGCGTGGTGGCGGGCGCCTGTAGTCCCAGCTACTCAGGAGGCTGAGGCAGGAGAATGGCATTAACTCGGGAGGCGGAGCTTGCAGTGAGCCAAGTTCATGCCACTGCACTCCAGCCTGGGCTACAGAGTGAGACTCCGTCTCAAAAAAAAAAAAAAAAGAAAAAAAAGAAAAGTAGCTGTAATCCTAGCTACTCGGGAGGCTGAGATGGAAGAATCGCTTGAACCCAGGAGGCAGAGGTTGCAGTGAGCCAAGATTGTGCCATTGCATTCCAGCCTGGGCCACAAGAGCGAAACTCTGTCTCAAAAAAAAAAAAAAAAGTCTGTGGATTAGAGAGAACAGTTGTATTTGGAGTGCCCCATTTTAATCTAAACTTTCTCTTTTTCTTCATACTCTCTTTTAAAAAAATTTTTAATCATGACTCAAAGATGATTTAAAGATGATTTATCATATATGTGTTGTAGATGAGATTCTCCCTCCTTGTGAAATTTTGAGGTGACCAAGTTGACACTGCTTTTTTCTCCCTAATGTGTGAAAAATTACCAAATAGGGATTTTTTTTTTTTTTTTTTTTTTTTGAGACAGGCTGTGCCTCTGTCGCGCAGGCTGGAGTGCAGTGGCACAAGCATGACTCACTGCAGCCTTGACCTCCTTGGCTTAAGCAATTCTCCCGTCTCAGCCTCCCAAGTAGCTGAGACTACAGGCCCACCCTGCTACACCTGGCTAACTTTTAAATTTTTGGTAGAGAGAAGGTCTTGCTATGTTGCCCAAGCTGGTCTCCAACTCTTGGGCTCAAGGGATGCTCCTGCCTTGACTTCCCAAAGTGCTGGGATTCCTGGTGTGAGCTACCACGCACAGCCAGGGATCTTTTTTTTTTTGAAAGGACAGAATGGAACAAAATTGTTAAACATTCGTTTCTAAAGGGTGTTTTATGGGCCTGGCGTGGTGGCTCACGCCTGTAATCCCAACACTTTGGGAGGCCGAGTCGGGTGGATCACCCGAGGTCAGGAGTTTGAGACCAGCCTGGCCAACATGATGAAACCCCGTCTCTACTAAAAATACAAAAGTTAGCCGGGCATAGTGGCACTTGCCTGTAATCCCAGCTACTAGGGGGCTGAGGCAGGAGGATCGCTTGAACCTGGAAGGCAGAGATTACAGTGAGCTGAGATGGTGCCATTGCACACCAGCCTGAGGAACAGAGCGAGACTCTGTCTCAAAAAAAAAAGTATTTTATGTACTGTTATGAATGCAACTGTGCAAAATAATTCCATAGTAACTAGAATTATTATGTCTAATGTTAATTCTCTTTCCCTATGGTAGAATTATATTTTTATAAACATCTGTAGGCTCAAAAAGAACATAATGTTCTTTCTAAAGTTATCTAGATAACACGCTCTAAATATACTGTCAATGTATGTAACTATTTGAAAGTTCCTGTTTATTACATAAAATAACATCTTTCGTAATCCTCAATAATTATTATAGCATTTTACTTTTGCAGTATTAAATATATATTCATATATACTTCAACTGACTGCTAGGATTTGAACATTAAAGCACATCATCAGATTTTACTTTTATTATTTTTAAATTTTTATTTTATTTTATTATTTTTTTCTTTGAGATGGATTTCGCTCTGTTGCCCAGGCTGGAGTGCAGTGGCGCAATCTCGGCTCACTGCCTCCTGGGTTCACGCCATTCTCCTGTCTCAGCCTCCTGAGTAGAGCTGGGACCACAGGTGCCCGCCACCACGCCCGGCTAATTTTTTGTATTTTTAGTAGAGACAGGGTTTCACCGTGTTAGCCAGGATGGTCTCGATCTCCTGACCTCGTGATCCCTCCATCTCAGCCTCCCAAAGTGCTGGGATTACAGGCGTGAGCCACCACGCCCGGCCAAATTTTTATTTATTTATTTATCTGTTGCCAGGCTGGAGTGCAGTGGCTGATCTCGCTCACTGCAACCTCCGCCTCCCGGGTTCAAGTGATTTTCCTGCCACAGCCTCCCAAGTAGCTAGGACTACAGGCATGTGCCACTACGCCCAGCTAATCTTTGTATTTTTAGTGGAGACGGAGTTTCACCATGTTGGCCAGGATGGTCTCGAACTCCTGACGTCATGATGTGCCCGCCTCAGCCTCCCAAAGTGCTGGGATTACAGGTGTGAGCCACCGCGCCCGGCACATCATTAGATTTAATACTTTAAGTTACATTTGGAATTTAGAATACCTAAATTTAAAAGTAGGTATTCACACAGTAACAATAGACCAGGTACACTGGTTTATGCCTATAATCCCAGCACTTTAGGAGGCCCAGATGAGAGAATCACTTGAGCCTAGGAGTCTAAGACCAGCTTAGCAACATTGTGAGACCCCATCTTTACAAAAAAAATTAAAACTTAAAAAAAAAAAATTGGCTGGGCGCAGTGGCTTGTGCCTATAATCCCAGCACTTTAGGAGGCCGAGGTGGGCGGATCACGAGGAGGTCAAGAAATCAAGACCATCTGGTCAACATGGTGAAGCCCCGTCTCTACTAAAAATCCAAAATTAGCTGGGCGTGGTGGCGTGCTCCTGTAGTCCCAGCTACTCTGGAGGCTGAGGCAGGAGAATTGCTGGAACCTGGGAGGCAGAGGTTGCAGTGAGTCAAGATGCGTCACTGTACTCCAGCCTGGTGACAGAACAAGACTCCGTCTCAAAAAAAAAAAAAATTAGCTGGGCATAGTGGCATGCACCTGTAGTCCCAGCTACTCAGGAGGCTGAGATGAGAGGATCAATTGAACCCCAGAGGTTGAGGCTGCAGTGAGCACATTTATTATTACTTTTCTGTGCTTTGCAGAATATTTGAAATATACAGGGTTGTATAAAGACAAAGGCCACATATAATCATACAATCCAGAGACAATCACTCGAAGCATTTTGGTTCTTATCTTTGTGAGCTTCTTTTATATAAATATATATATGTATACACACACACAATATTTATTTATTTTCTTAATACAGTTGAAACTGTAAATACTGTTTTTTGATTTGTTTTGTTTTGTTTTTGAGATGGAGTTTCACTGTGTCACCCAGGCTGGAGTGCAGTGGCACGATCTCGGCTCATTGCAACCTCTGCCTCCTGGATTGTAGCGATTCTCCTGCCTTAGCTTCCTGAGAGTAGCTGGATACAGGCGTGCACCACCACGCCCAGATAATTTTTGTATTTTTAGTAGAGATGGTATTTCGCCATGTTGTCCAGGCTGGTCTCGAACTCCTGATCTCAGGTGATCCACCCACCTCGGCCTCCCAAAGTGCTGGAATTACAGGCGTGAGCCACTGCACCCAGCCATAAATACTGTTTTGAAACCTGCCTTTGTTATTTAATATACTTGAATATCTTGCATAGCATTAAATTTTTTTCTTTTTTTTTTTCTTTTTTTTTTTGAGACAGAGTTTCGCTCTTATTGCCTAGGCTGGAGTGCAATGGCCTGATCTCAGCTCATCACAACCTCTGCCTCCCGGGTTCAAGCTATTCTCCTGCCTCAGCCTCCCGAGTAGCTGGGATCACAGGCGTGCGCCACCATGCGCAACTAATTTTTTGTATTTTTAGTAGAGATGGGGTTTCTCTATATTGGTCAGGGTGGTCTTGAACTCCCGACCTCAGGTGATCCGCCCGCCTCGGCCTTCCAAAGTGCTGGGATTGCAGGCGTGAGCCACTGCGCCCAGCCAAATATTTTTCGAAAACATAAATTTAATGTCTACATATTTCATCTTATGGATGCTTCCGACTTATTTATACGTTTAGGTTCCAGTTTTTCACAACTAAATACATGTAAGTGATTGTGCTTGCCCATAAATGCAGAAAAATGATTTGACAAAACAAATATTCACATTTACTCACAATAAAAACTCTCACAAAACTAGGGATGAAAGGGAATTAGCACAACATGATAAAAAGTATCTACATGCCAGGCACAGTGGCTCACGCCTGTAATCCCAACAGTTTGGGAGGCCAAGGCAGGTGGATCACGAGGTCAGGAGTTCAAGACCAGCCTGACCAATATGGTGAAAACCCGTCTCTACTAAAAATACAAAAATTAGCCGGACATGGTGGTGCACGCATGTTATCCCAGCTACTCAGGAGGCTGAGGCGGGAGAATTGCTTGAACCAGGGAGGCAGAGGTTGCAGTGAGCCGAGATCACGCCACTGCACTCCAGCCTGCAGGAAAGAGCAAGACTCTGTGTTAAAAGAAAAGTATGCAGTTAACGTCATACTCAACAGTGAGACTAAATGGCTTCCCCTCAGATTGAGAAAGGCAAGGATGTCTACTCTCAACACTCCTCCAAAGCTACAGTAATCATGAGCATGTCATATTGGGGAAGGGATAGACACATGGATCAATAAAACAAGAATCTAAAAATAAACCCACACAAATTTGGACGACTGACTTTTTACAGAGGTGTAAGAGCAATTCAATGGGCCGGGCATGGTGGCTCACACCTGTAATCCCAGCACTTTGGGAGGCTGAGGTGGGAGGATCACCTGAGGTCAGGAGTTCAAGACCAGCTTGGCTAACATGGTGAAACCCCGTCTCTGCTAAAAATACAAAAATTAGCCAGGCATGCTGGTGGGTGCCTGTAATCCCAGCTACTTGGGAGGCTGAGGCAAGAGAATCACTTGAACCCAGAAAGTGAAGGTTGTGGTGAGCCCAGACCATGCCATTGCACTCCATCCTGGGCCACAAGAGCAAAACTCGGTCTCAAAAAAAAAAAAAAAAGGCCCAGCGCGGTGGCTCACGCCTGTAATCGCAGCATTTTGGGAGGCCAAGGCAGGTGGATCACGAGGTCAGGAGATCGAGACCAGCCTGGCCAACACAGTGAAATCCTGTCTCTACTAAAAATATTAAAAAATTAGCTGGGTGTGGTGGCGGGCGCCTGTAATCCCAGCTACATGGGAGGCTGAGACAGGAGAATCCCTTGAACCCAGGAGGCAGAGGTTGCAGTAAGCCTAGATCATGCCACTGCACTCCAACCTGGGTGACAGTGTAAGACTCCATCTCAAAAAAGAAAAAAAAAGCACTTAAATGAAGATAGAAAAAGTTTTTCAACAAATTGTGTCTCAACTATTGGACTTTCATATGCAAAAAAATGAACCTGAACCCAACTCTTACACTTTTTACACAAAGTAAATAAAAACAGATAACAGATATAAATTTAAACTGGGAAGTGAGGAGCACCTCTGCCCGGCCGCCAACCCGTCTGGGAAGTGAGGCGCACCTCTGCCTGGCAGCTGCACTGTCTAAAAAGTGAGGAGTGCCTCTGCTCGGCCGCCCCACAGTCTGGGAAGTGAGGAGCGCCTCTGCCTGGCCGCTCTGCAACCCTCTAAGTGTGAGGTGGCAGCCTTGAGTGTGATTTTTACGCCCTCCCCAAGTTTGCATTTTTGACATTAAATTTTACTTTTAAATTAAAAGCTTTAAATAGGGGAATATAAATAAACATATAAATAAATAAATAAATAAATTTAAAACATAAAACTAGGAAATTTCTAGAACAAAACCAAATATTTATGACCTTGAATTAGGCAGAGTTCTTACACATGATACCAAAACCCCAATCCACAAAAAGCAACAAAGTACAAATTGGACTTAATCAAAATTAAAGCTTTATTATTATTATTATTGTTATTAGTTTTTGGAGACGTAGTCTCCGTCTCCCAGGCTGGAGTGCAATGGCATGATCTTGGCTCACTGCAACGTCCGCCTCCTGGGGTCAAGTGATTCTCATGCTCAGCCTCTTGAGTAGCTGGGACTACAGGCGCGCACCACCATGCCCAGCTAATTTTTGAATTTTTAGTGGAGACTGGGATTCACCATGTTGGCCAGGCTGATCTTCAACTATTGCTTACCTCAAGTGATCTGTCTGCTTCAGCCTCCCAAAGTGCTGGGATTACAGGTGTGAGCTACCGCACCCGGACTATTATTATTATTCTAATAGTTTTTGGGGAACAGGTAGTGTTTAGCGACATGGATAAGTTCTCCAGGTGTGATATCTGGGATTTGGTGCATCCATCACTCAAGCAGTGTACGCAGCAGCATCCAGTGTGTAGTCTTCTATCCCTCACCCCTGCTCCCAGTCTTCCCAAGTCCCCATAGTCCACTATATCATTCTTATGACTTTGCGTCCTCATAGCTTAGCTCCCACTTAAAATTAAAGCTTTCTTTTTTTCTTTCTTTCTTTTTTTTTTTTTTTTTTTTTTGAGACAGAGTCTTGCTCTGTCACCCAGGCTGGAGTGCAGTGGCGCGATCTCGGCACACTGCAAGCTCCACCTCCCAGGTTCATGCCATTCTCCTGCCTCAGCCTACTAAGTAGCTGGGACTACGGGCACCTGCCACGACGCCCGGCTATTTTTTTGGTATTTTTAGTAGAGACGGGGTTTCACCGTGTTGGCCAGGATAAAATATTTACTAATCATATATCCAACAAAGGACTTACATTCAGAATAAATTAAGAACTGTCAAAACTGAATAAGAAAATAAACCACTTTCAAATGCCTGCCTTCTTCAACTAGGCTTTGTTAATGTGGTTATTGCAATCAGCATTATCTCTAACAGTCTTTAACATAATAAATGAGGTCAGGTGGTAATCCCAGCATTTTGGGAGGCCGAGCTGGGCAGGTCACCTGAGCCCAGGGATTCCAGACCAGCCTGGCCAACATGATGAAACCCCTTCTCTACTAAAAATACAAAAATTAGCTGGGCGTGGTGGTGTGTGCCTGTAGTCCCAGCTGCTTGGGAGGCTGAGGCATGAGAATTGCTTGAACCAGGGAGGCAGAGGTTGCGGTGAGCCAAGATTGCGCCACTGCATTCCCGCCTGGGCGACAGAGCCAGACTCTGTCCAAAAACATAAAAATAAAAGTGCTGAAGGAAAAAAAACAGCCTGGGCAACAGAGTGAGACTCCATCTCTAAACAAATAATAAATGATTAGGTGTTACTCTTTTACCTATTATCTAATGTCTAGTTAATATATCTTTAAAAGTACTCAGAGTTGAAAAAATAAACTTTAAGTTGTACAGAGAGATCATTAAGAATATAATGGATGGGATGCTGTGGCTCACATCTGTAGTCCCCAAACTTTGAAAGGCTGAGGTGGGAGCATCTTGAGCCCAGAGGGTGGAGGCTGCAGTGAGCTATTATCACACCACTGCACTCCAGCCTGGGCAACAGAATGAGATCTCATATCAAAAAGACAAAAACGGGCTGAGCGTGGTGGCTCACACCTGTAATCCTAGCACTTTGGGAGGCCGGTGGGGAGGGGGGTTGGATTACCTGACATCAGGAGTTCAAGACCAGCCTGGCCAACATGGTGAAACCCCGTCTCTACTAAAAATCCAAAAAAAACAAAAAAACAAAAAAATTAGCTGGGCGTGGTGGCGGGTGCCTGTAATCCCAGCTACTTGGGAGGCTGAGGCAGGAGAATTGCTTGAACCTGGGAGGCAGAGGTTGCAGTGAGCCGAGATCACACCATTGCACTCCACCCTGGGCAACAAGAGCGAAACTCCGTCTCAAAAAAAAAAAAAAAAAGACAAAAACAGCATGGCCAAGCACGGTGGCTCATGCCTGTAATCCCAGCACTTTGGGAAGCCAAGGCGGGCAGATCACCTGAGGTCAGGAGTTCGAGATCAGCCTGACCAACATGGAGAAACTCCGTCTCTACTAAAAATACAAAATTAGCCGGGCACAGTGGCGCATGCCTGTAATCCCAGCTACTCGGGAGGCTGAGGCAGGAGAATCGCTTGAACGCAGGAGGCAGAGGTTGCGGTGAGCCGAGATCATACCATTGTACTCCAGCTTGCACAAGGGCAAAACTCCGTCTCAAAAAAACAAAAAAAAAAAATCTGAAGGTCACAAAAAACAAATATATATATACATATATATGTGTGTATATATATATACACACATATATATGTATATATATATATATATATATATATTTAAAAAACACAAAAATAACCAAAAGCCAGGTGCAGTGGCTCACCCCTGTAATCCCAGAACTTTGGGAAGCTGGGGCAGGCAGATCACTTTGTCAAAAGCCTTTGAACTGTAGCAACTTCATCTTGAATAGGGGCTGGGTAAAATGAGGCTGGGCTGCATTCCCAGATGGTTAAGGCATTCTAAATCACAGGAAGAGATAGGAAGTCAGCACAACATACAGGTCATAAAGACCATGCTGATGGCCTGGCACAGTGGCTCATGCCTATAATCCCAGCACTTTGGGAGGCTGGGGTGGGCAGATCACTTGAGCCCTGGAGTTCCAGACCAGCCTAGCCAACATGGTGAAACCCTATCTCTACTAAAAATACAAAAGTTATCTGGGTGTGGTGGCAAGCCTATAATCCCAGCTACTTGGAAGGCTAAGGCAGGAGAATCGCCTGAACCAATGAGGCGGAAGTTGCAGTGATCCAAGATTGTGCCACTGCACTCCACCCTGGGCTACAGGGTGAAACTCTATCAAGAAAAAAAAAAAAAGCCTTACTGATAAAACAGGTTGCACTAAAGAAGCCAGCCTAAAACCTACCAAAACCAAGATGGCAATCAGAGTGACCTCTGGTTGTCCTCACCGCTGATATAGGAGTTAAAAAGAAATTATTTAGGCAGATAGTGAGGGTAAGGAAGTCATCGGTAAAGCTTTCCTTTTAATAAAAAGCAGCCCCAAAATCATTTTACTTTCTAACAAGGAGCCTGTAAAAATGAGCTGCAGACATACACAAGCAAGCGGAAGCTTGCACAGGTGAATGCTGGCAGTTGTGTCAATCAGAAAAGGCTACCAGAGACTAGGTGTGTTTAAAATGGCGGCTCCATCTTCTGTTTTTCTTTCCATCTTCTGTTTTTCTTTCCAACCACTTGTGCAGTAGGGAGCACACAACATGGCACTGGCCCAGTGGAAAGCTCATTTGCATTAAGTAGATTAGGGTGGGTGGCCAGCTTCCTCTCATGCTATGTAGACGTCCCACCTGGTCCAACCCATCTCTGGGCCCCTGGTAAATCAGACACCGCCTCCTCAAGCCTGCCTATAAAATCCGGTGCACTCCACTGAGGTCTAGAGGTCCCATACGGGTGCCTCTCTCTCTCGAAAGAGAGAAAGCTGTTCTCTAGGCCGGGCGGGGTGGCTAATGCCTGTATTCCCAGCGCTTTGGGAGGCTGAAGTGGGCAGATCACATGAGGTCAGGAGTTCGAGACCAGCCTGACAAACATGGAGAAACCCCATATCTACTAAAAATACAAAATTAGCAGGGCGTGGTGGCACATGCCTGTAATCTCAGCTACTCGGGAGGCTGAGGCAGGAGAATCAGTTGAACCTGGGAGGTGGAGGTTGCAGTGAGCCAAGATCACAGCATTGCACTACAGCCTGGGGGACAGAGCAAGACTCTGTCTCAAAAAAAAAAAAAAAAAAGAGAGAGAGAATATAAGGAAGTCGGTGGAGTAATAAATTGATATAACCTCTTCTGAGCAACTTAGTAGTGTATCGATTATAAATAAGTAGACCTTTTGATCAAGCAATATTTTTCTAGGAACGTATTCTATAAATATATTTGCAAATGTAAGATTCATCAAAAGCAATACTTGATGCTTTTTGACTATAAACTAAAATTTGACTATAAACAAAACGTCTAGTAGAGGACTGGATGAATAAATTGTGGTAAATTGGTATGCTGCGTAGCTATCAAAGAAGGTGTGAACATATTTAAAATGTCTAAAACTGTTTAAAAGTGTCAAAAGCAAAGAATTTTCCACTAGGATAATAGACTAAGCTAAAACAGGAAACCCTCCCCGCTACTTCAAATTCAATAGAAATGCTAAGTAAAATATATATTTTTAAATGTTTCCAAAGCTGGATTATGGCTGGGGCTTATTACATTGTTCTGCATATGTTTTTTGTTTGTTTGTTTTGTTTTGTTTTTGAGGCAGAGTCTCACTCTTGTTGCCCAGGCTGGAGTGCAGTGGCCCGATCTTGGCTCACTGCAACCAACGCCTCCAAGGTTTAAGCAATTCTCCTGCCTCAGCCTCCCGAGTAGCTGGGACTACAGGCGTCCGCCACCACACCCAGCTAATTTCTGTATTTGTAGTAGAGATGGGGTTTCACCGTATTGGCCAGGATTGTCTCAATCTCCTGATCTCGTGATCCATCAGCCTCTGCCTCCCAAATTGCTGGGATTACAGGTGTGAGCCACCACACCCAGCCTGTTCTAATATGTTAAAAGAATTGCCCATAGTAAAATCTTTCCTTAATAAAAAGTCCATATTTATCAACCTGAGAAAAATGCAATTGAAAAATGGACAAGGAGCAAGAACAAAAACTTAACTAGAAGTTGGCAATTTAGCACGTAATAAGAATTTTTTGTATCATTAGCAACTAGGGAAATCCAAATAAAAACTACATTGAGATACCCCTACACTGAAACAGACCCAATTGCCCTATAGAACTGATGTTTATGGTTTCTTTGAATAAACACAGTAACTGATCCTTTTAGTCTTAAAACTTGAGACAGTTACATTTGTCTTATCTGAGTTCCTTTCTCAGGAAAGCAACCATCAGGCCTCCCAGATAGTATTAACCAGTTGAAACTCACAGGATCACTGAATTTGGACAATGAAAGTCAGACCCCTCACCCATCATGATTGCCTAACCCACCACCTGCTTCCTGTTGACCAAACCCTCTTCCTTACCCCTAACCAATTCATGTTTTTCCACATATGGTTACATTTCCTCCCAGCAATAGAAGCCGCTCATTTTAGCCTGTCAGGGAGATGGATTTGAGACTGATCTCCCATCTCCCATCTCCCATCTCCTCAGCAGTAACACCCAATTAAAGCCTTCTTCGTTGGCAACACTTGTTGTTGTCATGATTGGCTTTCTGAGCCACAAACAGCAGCACCTAGACCAAACCCCTGGTGTTTCAGCAACACCACCATTGATTAGAATGTCTAACGGTTTTTTTAAATGCTAAAAATACCAAATAAAGAACGTGGGCCAACTGAACTCTCATGCGTTCACAAGGGGAACACATAATAGTACAGTCACTCTTAAAAATGGTTTGCTAGTTCCTTGTAAAATTAAATATACATATTTACCGTGACTCAGCAGTCCCACTCCTGGGTATCTACCTTAAAGAAATAAAAATTTATTTTCACACAAAAACCTGTATGCAAATGTTTATAGCAGCTCTATTCAGAATTCCAAAACTTGGAAAAGGCTGGGCACAGTTGCTCATTCCTGTCATCCCAGCACTTTGGGAGGCCAAGGCAGGCGGATCACTTGAGGTTAGGAGTTTGAAACCAGCCTGGCCAACATGGTGAAACCCCTTCTCTACTAAAAATACAAAAATTAGCCAGGTGGGGTGGTGTGCACCTGTAATCCCACCTACTCAGGAGGCTGAGGTGGGGGAGTCGCTTGAACCCCAGAGGTGGAGGTTGCAGTGAGCCGAGATCATGCCACTGCACTCCAGCCTGGGCAACAGAGTGAGACTCCATCTCAAAAATAAATAAATAGGCCGGGTGCAGTGGCTCATGCCTGTAATCTCAGTACTTTGGGAGGCTGAGGCAGGCAGATCACCTGAGGTTGGGAGTTCGAGACCAGCCTGACCAACATGGAGAAACCCCGTCTCTACCAAAAATACAAAATAGCCAGGCGTGGTGGCACATGCCTGTAATCCCAGTTACTAGGGAGGCTGAGGCAGGAGAATCGCTTGAACCTGGGAGGCGGAGGTTGCGGTGAGCTGAGATTACTCCATTGCACTCCAGACTGGGCAACAAGAGCAAAACTCCATCTCAAAAAATAAATAAATAAATAAACAAATAAGTATAAAAAATAATAAAACGGAAAAAATACAAATATCCTTCAATGGATAAATACTCTTCAGTATATCATAACATGGAATACTATCAGCAATTAAAATAAAACTGTTGTAGGCCAGGCGCAGTGGCTCATGCCTGTAATCCCAGCGCTTTGGGAGGCCGAGGTGGGTGGATCACCTGAGGTCAGGAGTTGGAGAACAGCCTGACCAATATGGTGAAACCCTGTGTCTACTAGAAATATAAAAATTACCTGGGTGTGGTGGGATGCACCTGTAGTCCCAGCTACTCGGGAGGCTGAAACAGGAGAATCATTTGAACCTGGGAGGTGGAGGTTGCAGTGAGCCAAGATCGAGCCACTGCACTCTAGCCTGGGCAACAGAGCAAGACTCCGTCTCAAAAAAATAACAATAAAAAATAAATAAAATAAACTGTTTTCACACACAATGATATGGATACCAACTAAATTGTGACCTTTTTTCCTTTCTTGTCCAAATTTCTAACTAAGGGACATAGGAAATCATGCCCTACAAACTATAAAAATCTCACCAGAAGGGTTTTATTTAACCCTATATAACCGCTTAGTTTCCAACCTGACTCTGGCATAACATTGCATGACAAAGAAGGAAATCAAAATATTTTATCCCCAAATATGCTTCTTTGCAGTATATATTATATATTTATATGAAAATATAGGGCCAGGCACAGTGGCTCATGCCTGTAATCCCAGCACTTTGGGAGGCCGAGGTAGGTGGATCACGAGGTCAAGAGTTGAAGACTAGCCTGGCCAACATGGTGAAACCCCATCTCTACTAAGAATACAAAAATTAGCCCAATGTGGTGGCACATACCTGTAATCCCAACTACTTGGGAGGCTGAGGCAGGAGAATCGCTTGAACCTGGGAGGCGGAGGTTGCAGTGAGCCAAGATCACACCACTCTACTCCAGCCTAGGCAACAGAGCAAGACTACGTCTGGAAAAAACCCAACAAACAAACAATATATATATATATATAATTTTATTTTATTTTATTTTATTTTTTTGAGACAGAGTCTCCCTCTGTCTTCCTCTCTCACCCAGGCTGTAGTGTCAGCACAATCTGTGCTCACTGCAACCTTCGCCTCCCAGGCTCAAGTAATCCTCCCACCTCTGCCTCCCAAATAGCTGAGATTAACGTCTTTGCCACTGTGCTGACAAAATCTTGTATTTTCTGTAGAGATGGGGTTTCGCCATGTTGCCCAGGCTGGTCTTCAACTCCTGTGCTCAGGCAATCCTACTGCCTCAGCCTCCCAAAGTGCTGGGATTACAGACGTGAGCTACTGCGCCCGGCCAGAGAATCTAGCACCTTTTAAAGGTTTAAATAGGAAATTTTTGCCATCTAAAGACAGTCACTATGAGACATCCTAAGAATCTTGGTCTCCACAACCCCTTATCTTAACCCAGACACTCCTTTCTATGAACCTGGTCTTCAGATAGCCAATTGCCAATCAGAAAATCGCTGAATCCGCCTGTGACCTGTAAGCACCGCTTGGAGTTGTCCCGCCTTTCCTGACAGAACCAGTGTACACTTTACATGTATTGACTGATGTCTTAAGTCTTCCCAAAACGTGTAAAATCAAGCTGTAACCCAACCACCTTGGATACATGTTCTTAGGACCTCTTCAGACAGTACCTTGGCCTTCCTCACTCATATTTGGCTCAGAATAAACTTCTAAATATTTTACAGTTTGACTCTTCGTAAACATGGATGAATCACAAAAGCATTACGCTTTTGAGGAGCCAGTCACAAAAGGTTATATCATACTGTATGATTCCATTTATATACCATTTCTAAAAAGAGAAAACTAGGTTTCAAGAGCAGATCAGTCCTTGCCAAGGATCCAGGTGTCGGAGGGAGTGACCATAAAGCAAATGAAGCACAGAAGAGAATGGCAGCACAAGGAGTTTCAGGGTGGGACAGGGCTCTTCCGTATCCTGGTTACAGTGGTTACTACACGTATACATACATATGTGAAAATTCATAGAACTTTACACCCAAAGAAACGTTAGTTTTTTTGTTTGTTTGTTTTTGGTTTTTTTGAGATGGAGTCTCCCTCTGTCGCCCAGGCTGGAGTGCAGTGGCGCGATCTCGGCTCACTGCAAGCTCCGCCTCCCGGGTTCACGCCACTCTCCCGACTCAGCCTCCCTAGGAGCTGGGACTACAGGCGCCCGCCACAACGCTCGGCTATTTTTTTTTTTTTTTTTTTTGTATTTTTAGTAGAGACGGGGTTTCGCCGTTAGCCAGGATGGTCTCGCTCTCCTGACCTCGTGATCCGCCCGCCTCCGCCTCCCAAAGTGCTGGGATTACAGGCGTGAGGCACCGCGCCCATCCGAAACGTTAGTTTTAATGTAAGGTTTTTTTTTTTTAACCCTTTAATCAGTAAGGTGCATCTACATTTCACGATTCCGGGACAAATACAGATGTGCACACGCTCCTCAGCCTATGCAGGGACTACTTTCTCATGGACATCCTTTCTAACTACACACTTTTCATTTGTTACTTTAGCCTGACACCTAAAACATGACTAGGACAGAATGCGAGGTTGATTTTCTGGGGACAGTCGCCACCCCCTTCCTTGCCCTCTCTCTCCTTTCTGTCTCTCCCTGGTTTCCCCTTCTGCGTCTTCCCACCTCTCCCGTTTTTGCGTCTTCGTGTTTCTCACGCCCTGTGTCATGGCCTCCTCCGTCTTCTCCCGCTCTGTCACAGTCTCCCGCCGGGGGCTAGGGGTGCCCGGCCCGCATCCCTGGGCGACCCTGAGTCCCCGCAGGCGGCCCCGAGGCCGGGGTGGCTTCCGCATGGGGTCTCTGCCCGAGGCCTTTCTCTGCCAAGGAGGGAGTGTGGACGCTCGGGGAGCCCAGAAGGGCGCTGCACCCACGGGGACCGGACGTGGTGGGCGGACCCCTCCTCCGCGTCCCCGACGGGACATGCCCGGGGCCCACACGGCCTCCGCGCCCCCGGCGGGACGGACACCCCGGGCCACCGCGCGCCCCCCACCACCTACCCGGCCTCGCTGGATTCCCGGGACCCCCTCACAAACGAAACCCTCGAGCTCATCCCTGACTTGGGGGCAGCTTTGGAAGGAACAGCACCGGACTCTCACCCTCTCGCTGCCTCTCAGTCCGGGTTTCTGTGGAGCGCGTCTCCCAGTCGCTGTCCCTAC
This sequence comes from Homo sapiens, assembly GCF_000001405.40. Lineage (NCBI taxonomy): Eukaryota > Metazoa > Chordata > Mammalia > Primates > Hominidae > Homo > Homo sapiens. The sequence continues at coordinate 149,126,595 of NC_000007.14, read as the reverse complement.
TCTCTCCCTGTTCCTGCTCTCTCCATGTTCACCTGCCCCTCCGTTTCCCCTCCCGTCAGCTCCCTCATCTCGTCTTCGACCGCATCCCTCGCATGCAGATCCGGGAGTCCAAGGGTCCCTCAAAGACCGGCGTGCTGCGGCCCGCACGGAGGGTGCCCGGGCCCCTCCTCTGAGGACCGACTCCCTCTGGCGGCGCCGCTCCTCCCGCCCGCAGGGGGCGCTATGGGGCGGAGCGGCTTCCGCTTCCGAGCGCCGAGTCCCAGCATGCACCGCGCCCGGCCGGCTCTGCCTTTGGGGGCCAGCAGGGCTGTACCTGGGAGTTGGGTTGGGGCGGAGCGGAGGGGAGGCCGTGCCAGGCAGGGCCGGTTCGTGCGGAACCGCCATGGCCGAGCCGGCTTCGGTAAGAAGGGCCGGTGGAGGATGCAGGCTCTGTCGAAACTCGGGTCCCTGTCGCAGCTGGATTGGGGTCCGCGTCCAGGGAGTGGGGCGGCCGGGGCCTGGGCCTGGGGGTTGGCAGTGGCCCACGGACTGAGCTCCGGGCTGGGCTGGAGAAGGTGCAGTCTTGCTGCGTGTGCTGTTCTGGAATTGACCTGGGGAAAAGCTGGTCTGGCCGGGCTTGGCCGCGCGCGTCTGTGGCCCCGGCCACTCGGAAGGCTGAGGCGGGAGCAGCGCTTGAGCCCGGGAGCTCTGCGCTGTATATGCGCTAGGTCCGTCGCGCGGTGCCTCTGAGTTCTGCATCTGTGTGGTGACCTCTCGGGAGCGGGGACCACCAGGTTCCCCAGGGAGGGGGAACCGGCCCAGCTCGGAAACCGAGCAGGGCAAAACCCCAGTGCTGATCGTTAGTGGGATCGCGCCTGTGAATAGCCACTGCCCTCCAGCCTGGGCAACAGCCAGACCCCGTCTGTTTAATACATAAATAAAAGTTGGTTTGGGAGAAAGAATCCGGGTGGGAAAGATCTGTTTCTCGGCCTGTTGTAGGCTCAGATCAACAACGCTGTCCCTGCCTTCAGTGTCGGGGCTCTGAACCTCGGGGTCTCTCTGGGGCCCGTGCTCTCCTGCTGAAGGTAGTTTCAGAGAAGCACATCAGTGTTAAGCAGATGAGAAAAAGGAGAAGGAAAGCTGGAACTGAGAGAAATTGGAGACCGCTCCCTCTAGGAAAGGACAGAAAACTTAAAATGAATTGGGTGGTTAGCGTAAATCGAATTTACCGTAAATGCTGTAGTATTGTAATGTAGTATTGAAAATTTGAGCACCGGTTTTAGAGTTTGAAAGGCGTATCCTGAGGCTTAATCCAAGAAACCCTGTTACATTCAGTTAAGTATAACTTGCTTAAGTGTGCAAGTTTTTCTTGTGCCCCCAATGAAATTTTATAATCTTAGGAATGTAATGCTCCTTATTTGCATTTGATTCTTCCCTTTTGCTTCCCACTCCTTTTCCCCACCCTCCTTTGGCAGGTACAGATTCTTTTCTGATTTCTCCAAGCTTTGTTTCTACAGCCAGGCTTTCTTTTTTTCTCTCCTCTTTAAGTGATTGGGAATCTCCTGGAATATTCCTCTCTGTTCTGGGAAAGTTTGTGGTAGCTCTTCTTTGTACATTGAATTTATAGAAAATGTGGTAACAGTTTATTGGCTAATGTATTATTTGGGATAGGCAAGGAAAAATCGTTTTCTTGATTTTCCTTTCCACTGTAGCAGTTTAATGCTAATTGTAAATGTGGTCATAAATGGGAATTTTATAGGTGGAAAACACATGGGTGGCCGGGCGTGGTGGCTCACGCCAGTAATCCCAGCACTTTGGGAGGCTGAGGCGGGCGGATCACCTGAGGTCGGGAGTTCGAGACCAGCCTGACCAACATGGAGAAAGCCCGTCTCTACCAAAAATACAAAATTAGCCTGGCATGGTGGTGCATGCCTGTAATCTCAGCTACTGGGGAGGCTGAGGCAAGAGAATCGCTTGAACCCAGGAGGCAGAGGTTGAAGTGAGCCGAGATCGTGCCATTGCACTCCAGCCTGGGCAACAAGAGCGAAACTCCGTCTCAAAAACAAAACCAACAACAACAACAACAACAAAAAAATATGGGTGAGGTACAATAAAACTGTAGAGGAATTTGGTTGAAATCACATTGTAAAAATAACAAGGCCATCCGGACGTGGTGGCTTACGCCTGTAATCCCAGCACTTTGGGTGGCCAAGACGGGCGGATCATGAGGTCAGGAGATCGAGACCATCCTGGCTAACACGGTGAAACTCCCTCTCTACTAAAATTACAAAAAATTAGCCGGGCGTGGTGGCGGGGGCCTGTAGTCCCAGCTACTTGGGAGGCTGAGGCAGGAGAACGGCGTGAACCCGGAAGGTGGAGCTTGCAGTGAGCCAAGATCACGCCACTGCACTCCAGCCTGGGCGACAGAGGGGACTCCATCTCAAAAATAAATAAATAAATAGCAAGGCCAGGCCAGGCGTGGTAGCTCAGGCCTGTAATCCCAGCACTTTGGGAGGCCGAGCCGGGCGGATCACGAGGTCAGGAGATCAAGACCATCCTGGCTAACACGGTGAAACCCCGTCTCTACTAAAAAGACAAAAAATTAGCCGGGTGTGGTGGTGGGCGCCTGTAGTCCCAGCTACTCGGGAGGCTGAGTCAGGAGAATGGCGTGAACCCGGGAGGCGGAGCTTGCAGTGAGCCGAGATGGCATCACTGCTCTCCAGTCTGGGCGAAAGAGCGAGACTCCGTCTCAAAAAGGAAAAAAAAAAAAAAAAAGAAAAAGCAAGTCCGGGCGCAGTGGCTCACGCCTGTAATCCTAGCACTTTGGGAGGCCGAGGCGGGCGGATCAACTGAGGTCAGGAGTTCCAGACCAGCCTGGCCAACATGGCGAAACCCGGTCTCTACTAAAAATAGAAAAATTAGCCGGGTGTGGTGGCGCGCTCCTGTAAACCCAACTACTCGGGAGGCTGAGACAGAAGAATCTCTTGAACCTGGGAGGCAGAGGTTGCAGTGAGCCAAGATTGTGCCACTGCACTCCAGCCTGGGGACAGAGCGAGACTCCGCCTCAATAAATAAATAAATGAAAATAAAACAAGTTTGAACTTGTTTGTCATAATAGCTGATACTTAAGCTTTCAGGGCTTATGATAGTTTAGATAGAATTTTAGCTCTGAAACTTTTATCTCCAAAAGCCTAAGTGTTAAACGTCAGGTCTCCTAGATTCTCTTATTGGGAGACTTGTAGTGCTTCTGACCAACATTTTCTATATACTTGGGAAGAGCCTTAGCCATCTTTCAAGATGTCCAGTACTTTGCTAGTAGGCTGTCATCTATATTTATAGCACAGAATCTGAAAGGAGTGAAAATGGAATTTTCAAAAGTTACACATGTTCTGTTGCTTCCCTCTTGACACAGTGGATCTGTCCTCAAACACCCAGGAAGAGCCGCCCTGGTTAGTTCAGTCCATACTAGAGGTTGTAGGTTAATGGTCCATGAGCCAATCATGGCTTGCAGACATTTTGTTTGAAACACCCCTGTTAAAATTGGGAATTTTAGTTGCCAACATGAGTTCACATAAAATGATCTATGTTTCCAGTTTCTCTTTAAGAAAATGACACATCCCAGGCCGGGTGTGGTAGCTCACACCTGTAAATCCCAGCACTTTGGGAGGTTGAGGTGGGTAGATCACCTGAGGTTAGGAGTTCAAGACCAGCCTGGCCAACATGGTGAAACCCCGTCTCTACTAAAAATACAAAATTAGCTGGGCGTGGTCGCACATGCCTGTAATCCCAGCTACTCAGGAGGCTGAGGCAGGAGGACTGCTTGAACCAAGGAGGCAGAGGTTGTAGTGAGCCGAGATTGCGCCATTGCACTCCAACCTGGGCGACGGAACGAGACTCCGTGTACAAAAAAACAAAAACAAAAACAAAAAACCCACGTCTCAATGTAAAACACAGCTACAAAACCTGTAGAAGGTGACACTGGAGAAAATCTTTGGAACCTAGGGCACAGTGGGAAGTCCCTGGTGGTGTACCACCAGCACAATCAATAAAGGGAAAAAAGTGATAAATTGGACATAATCAAAATTTAAAACTTGCTTTTTGAAGGATCCTGTTAAGAGCGTGAAAAGATACGGACTGGGGCCAAAATTTGCAAACCACATATCTGACAAAGGACTCCTGTCTAGACTACATAAAGAGCTCAGCTAGGCAAGGTGGCTCCTGCCTATAATCCCAGCACTTCCGGAGCCTGAGGCAGGAGGATTGCTTGAGCCCTGGAGTTTCAGATTAGCCTGCGCAATGTAGCAAGACACCATCTTTATTTAAAAAAAAAAAGAATCTTCCTTGGACAGTTAAAAAAAAATCCAATTAGAAAATGGGCAAAAGATGGCCGGGAGTGGTGGCTCACACCTGTAATCCCAGCACTTTGGGAGGCCGAGAGTGGGCGGATCACGAGGTCAGGAGATCGAGACCATCCTGGCTAACATGGTGAAACCCCATCTCTACTAAAAATACAAAAATACAAAAAAAAAAAAAAAAAGCCGGCGGTGGTGACGGGTGCCTGTAGTCCCAGCTACTCAGGAGGCTGAGGCAGAAGAATGGCGTGAACCTGGGAGATGCAGCTTGCAGTGAGCCGCGATTGCACCACTGCACTCCAGCCTGGGTGACAGAGCGAGACTCCGTCTCAAAAAAAAACAAAGAAAACGGGCAAAATATATAAAGTGGCATTTTGCCAAAGAGAATATTTTCATGGGAAAAAACACATAAAAAGATGTTTAACATCATTACTCATTAGGAAAACCAAATTAAAGCCACAGTTAGAGATCACTATACACCTATCAGAACAGTTAAAAGTAGTGACATTGCCAAATGCTGGCGATGGTGCTAAGAAATGCTGTCTTATAGATTGCTGGTAGGAATGTGAAATGGCGACCAGGCATAATGGCTCAGGCCTGTAATCCCAGCACTTTGGGAGGCCGAGGTGGGCGGATCACAAGATCAGGAGTTCAAGACCAGCCTGACCAACATAGTGAAACCCCATTTCTACTAAAAATACAAAAATTATCCGGGCATGGTGGGGCACGCCTGCAGTTCCAGCTGCTCGTGAGGCTGAGGCAGGAGAATCACTTGATCCCGGGAGGCGGAGGTTGTGGTAAGCCGAGATCACACCACTGCACTCCAGCCTGGGCCACAGAGCGGGACTCCCTCTCAAAAAAAAAAAAAAAGGCCGGGCGCGGTGGCTCACGCCTGTAATCCCAGCACTTTGGGAGGCCGAGGCGGGCGGATCACGAGGTCAGGAGATCGAGACCATCCCGGCTAAAACGGTGAAACCCCGTCTCTACTAAAAATACAAAAAAAATTAGCCGGGCGTAGTGGCGGGCGCCTGTAGTCCCAGCTACTTGGGAGGCTGAGGCAGGAGAATGGCGTGAACCCGGGAGGCGGAGCTTGCAGTGAGCCGAGATCCCGCCACTGCACTCCAGCCTGGGCGACAGAGCGAGACTCCGTCTCAAAAAAAAAAAAAAAAAAAAAAAAAAAAAAAAGGAATGTAAAATGGCCCAGCCACTCTGGAATATAGTTTGGCATTTTCTTTAAAAACTAAACAAATACTCATCATATGACACAGCAGTTGTAGTCCTGGGCATTTACCCCAGAAAAATAAAAACATGCCCACCCCAAATCCTGTACATGATTGTCCATAACAGCTCTTTTGTTAATATCCAAAAAGTTAAAACCAAAATATTTCTCAGTAGGTGAATGGCTAATCAAACTGGTGCATCCATACCATGGAATACTACTCGGCAATAAAAAAAGAAATGAAATACAGTCCTGGGTTGCTTAACGACAAGAATGTGTTTTGAGAAACACATTGTTAGGCAATTTTGTGGTTGTGCAAACATCAGAGTGTGCTTCCAAAAACCTAGATGGTATAGCTTATTTCTCCTAGGCTACAAACTTGTATAGCATGTTACTGTACTGAATACCGTAGGCAGTTGTAACACAATAGTAAGTATTTGTGTATCTAAACATAAACGTCCAGTAAAAATGCAATATTATAATCTTATAGGACCACTGTTGTATATGTGGTCTCTCACTGAAGCATCGTGTGGCACATGACTATATTGGTAAACATGACAACTTGGATGGATCTCAAGGACATTATGCTGAGAGAAAAAAGTCAATTTCAGAAGGTCGCATACCATGTGATTCCATTTATATAACTTTTTTTGTTTGTTTTTTTGAGACAGAGTCTCATTCTGTCGCCCAGGCTGGAGTGCAGTGGCACAGTCACAGCTCACTGCCAACTACGCCTCCCAGGTTCAAGCAATTCTCCTGCCTCAGCCTCCCGAGTAGCTGGGGCTACAGGCATGTGCCACAATGCCCGGCTAACTTTTGTATTTTTAGTAGAGACGGGGTTTCACCATGTTGGCCAGGCTGGTCTCAAACTCCTGCCTGCCTCAGTCTCCCAAAGTACTGGGATTACAGGGGTGAGCCACTGTACCCAGCCAACATTCTTGAAATGGCAGAATTGTGATGGATAATAGATTCGTGGTTGTGATTATAAAGGGTTGCAACAAGGGAGCTCTTTGTGGTGATGGGATGCAGTTGTCTGTCAGTATCCGCAAGGGATTGGTTCCAGGACCCCTCACAGATACCAAAATCCATGGATGCTCAAGTCCCTTATATAAAATGGTAGAATTTACATATACCCCGTGCACATCTTCTTGTACATAAATCATGTCTCAATTACTTATAATACCTAATACAATATAAACGCTATGTAAATAGTTATGCTGGATTTTAAAAAATTTGTAGTATATTCTTGCATTTTAAAATACATTATTTAAAATTTTACTTTATTTTATTTTTTAATAGAGATGAGGTCTTGCTATGTTGCTCAGGCTGGTCTCAAACTTGAGCTCAAGCAGTCTTCCCACCTCAGCCTCCCAAAGTGCTGGGATTACCATACCTGGCTTTTATTTTTAAAGCAGTTTTGATCTAAGGTTGGTCGAATTTATGGATGTGGAACCTGTGAATACAAAGGCTGACTGTAGTTGTGTTTTTTGATTGCAGTGGTGGTTACATGAGTGAGCATATGCGATGAAATAACAGAATTATATGTACACATTGCACCAATGTCAGTTTACTTGTTTTGATATTGTACTATAATATACAATATGACCTTTTGGGTAAAGTGGGTGAAGGGTACATGGAACCTTTTTAAAAATAATTTTTGGGCCAGGCGTAGTGGCTCGTGCCTTAATCCAGGCGTGCCACCACACCCAGCTAATTTTTGTATTTTTAGTAGAGATGAGGTTTTACCACGTTGGCCAGGTTGGTCTCTCGAACCAGGCATGGTGGCACACCCCGTAATCCCAGCTACTTGGGAGGCTGGGGCAGGAGAATCACTTGAACCTGGGAGTCAGACTTTGCAGTGAGCCGAGATTGAGCCACTGCACTCCAGCCTGGGTGTCAGAGAGAGACTCCATCTCAAAAAAAAAAAAAAAAAATCTAGGCTGGTTTCAAACTCCTGAACTTAAGCAGTCCTCCCGCCTCAGCCTCCCAAGTAGCTGGGACTATAGGCACACTTACATGGAAGCCTTCTGTGCTGTTTTTACAACATCTTGTGAATGTATAATTATTTCAAAGTAAAACATTTTTCAAAAACTGACACATCCAGCAATACTAGACCCAGTCTTCCACAGCAGTAACTGGTTGCTGCTAAGTAAAGCATCCCTTTTTAGATGGTCTTTGTGCTCAAAGGCCTGCTATTCATTCATTCATTTTAGTTTATTTTTATTATTTTTGAGACAGAGGCTCACTCTGTAGCCCAGGCTGGAGTGCAGTGGCAGGATCTCAACTCACTGCAACCTCTGCCTTCCGGGTTCAAACGATTCTCCTGCCTCAGCTTCCTGAGTAACTGGGACTACAGGAATGTGCCATCACGCCCAGCTAATTTTTTAATTTTTAGTAGAGATGAGGTTTTGCCATGTTGGCCAGGCTGGTCTCTCAAACTCCTGACCTCAGGTGATCCACCCACTTTGGCCTCCCAAAGTGCTGGGATTACAGGCGTGAGCGACTGGGCCCGGCCCATTCATTCATTTTACTTGGCTCCAGTGGATATTTGTGACCCCTTTGTTGTTTATTTTATAATATGGCACCATCCAGAAATAATTAACATGTTTTCTTTCTGTATCTCAATAAAGTAATGGACATTGAAAAACAAAGTAGCCGTAAAGTAAAAATGTATGTGTATACTATTTGTGATTCCAGGTAACTGTGACATTTGATGATGTGGCCTTATATTTTTCGGAACAAGAGTGGGAGATCCTGGAGAAGTGGCAGAAGCAAATGTATAAGCAAGAGATGAAGACCAATTACGAGACCCTTGATTCCCTGGGTAAGATGAGCTTCTAAGGAATCACTTTTTAGGAACCAACCTAATAGTACCAGGCTTCCTTCCCTGTATGAGCCGTGGGCTGGTTGAATATGATACTGTGCCCAGTTTACATTCATAATGTCTCCTCCCTTTCCTATAATGGCCTGGGAATATTAAATTCCTTTTTATCCAGTGGTATCTTTGCCTTCAGTATTATTAATACTCTAAATTCTCTGTCTCCTACCTTAACCCTCCCCAATGTCTCCCACAATTAGAATTACTAAGTAATCTGGCCAGGCGCGGTGGCTCACGCCTGTAATCCCAGCACTTTGGGAGGCTGAGGCGGGTGGATCACCTGAGATCAGGAGTTCGAGACCAGCCTGATCAACATGGAGAAGCCCTGTCTCTACTAAAAATACAAAATTAGCTGGGCATGTTGGTGCATGCCTGTAATCCTAGCTACTGGGGAGGCTGAGACAGGAGAATCGCTTGAACCTGGGAGGCGGAGGTTGCATTGAGCCAAGATCGTGCCATTGCACTCCAGCCTGGGCAACAGAGCAAGAGTCCATCTCAAAAAAAAAAAAAAAAAAAAAAAAAAAAGAATTACTAAGTAATCTAATTGCCCCTTTTTTTTTAAAAGAAGTGTATTCTTTTATTTCTTTAATACTTTCATGCCTCCTTATTGTGTTGCCTGCCTGAATAAGATGAATTTCTCATCTTCAAGGAACTATTGGTTTCATGAAGGGGACAGAGTGATTAAGTGAGAATAAGCTGGGATGCAACATAGTGCATGGTGTGAATATAACAGGCAAGAAAAGGGTAGAGGAAGGGAGGAGAGAGCAGTGGGATGGGACACTTAGGTAACTCCAGGGACATACTCAAGGAGTAGATTAAAAAGATTAAAGAGAAATTTGGGGAAATTATAACTTGCTGCTTATCCGGCTTATTCTGACACATTCTTGTATCATTAAAACCATTTCTTTTTTTTTTTTGAGACGGAGTCCATACTGGAGTGCAGTGGTGTAATCTCCGCTCACTGCAACCTCTGCCTCCTGGGTTCAAGTGATTCTCCTGTCTCAGCCTCCCAAGTAGCTGAGACTACAGGTGCCCGCCACCGCGCTGGCTAATTTTTTTTTGCATTTTTAATAGAGATGGGTTTTCATCATGTTGGCCAGGCTGGTCTCGAACTCCTGACCTCGTGATCTGCTCACCTCAGCCTCCCAAAGTGCTGGGATTACAGGCATGAGCCACCACGCCTGGCCTCATTAAAACCATTTCTACTGGTATCAATATAATAAGTGATCTCAGTCTAGCCTGAAGGACTCATTCCCTGCTTGGGGGATTTATATTTTATTGTGTGAGATAGGAATGACAAGAATCAACCATGTGAAATTAGGGGGAAGACAATTTTAAGCAGAGAAAAACTAGGGCAAAGGCCCCAGGGTAGGAGTGCCTGGGCTCAGGTTGTTGAGACCTACACTGAGCCTGTGGTAGGATCTGCACAGAAGGCTGGTGAGGAAGGGCCCCAAAGGACAAGATAAGGAGTTGGATTTTATTCTCAGCACAAGGGGAAGATGATGGGGGGATTTAAACAGAGGGGAGTGATTTACTTTTAAAATGGTTACTTGGGTTGCTATGTGGAGAATGAATCATAGTGGACAGCAATGAAAGGAGAGACACTAGCCAAGAGTGTTGGCCGTTCTGGTGCGATTTCATGGCAGCTGAACCAGGTAGGTAGTAATTAAGACAGAAGAAGATGGTCTCCAGATAGGCTTTAGAGGCAGAATCCTAGATTTTGCTGATGGATTAGATGTGGAAAAAAAGAAGAATCAACTCCTTGATTTTTGGTTTGAGTATCCTGATGGCAAGTGGCTTTGTTCACTAACAGGAGGAAGGTTAGGGAGGTCGCACATTTGTGCCACATTACATCTGAGATGCTCATATACATTTCCATGGAAACATAAAGTATGTGAAACTGGAATTCCATGTTAAGGTTAGGACTGGATTTACAGAATTGGAAGACGTTATAGTGATGGTATTTTAAACTATGGGGCTGGTTTGGGATCATCCAGGGAGAATTGTGTAGACAGAACAGAAAGAGACCTGGGACAACAACTCATTTAGAGGCTAACCTGAGGACACCGAGGCCCAGGAGCCAGCAGGGTGGGACAGATGAGAGCTGTGTGCTGATCCAGTCTTGTTGTGAGGTATCACAATTAGTGTCCTTCAACTTGGAAAATTTAGCCAGATTTTTCCAAATTTTAAAAATCAAATGGTATTACCTGCCAATGATTTTCCGTATAGAACATCCAGATCCCAGCCCCAGCGCTTAGGATTTAGCAGGTTCGGGCTCAGGCCCAGGGATCTACATTTTTCACAAGTACTTGAGGTGCTGCTAATGCTGGCGGTACCCACTTCCCTTGGAGATGAAGCCTTGATCTGAGGGCTGAGCTGTAGCTGACACCACCAAAGGCTCAGAGGAAGAGGCTTCCTGCTGCCTACTCTGAAGACCCTCTACTGATTTATGGAAACCCTTCTTTTTTTTTTTTTTTTTTGACGGAGTCTCGCTCTGTCACCCAGGCTGGAGTGCAATGGCACGATCTCGGCTCACTACAACCTCTGTCTCCCAGTTTCAAGCTATTCTCCTGCCTCAGCCTCCTGAGTAGCTGAAATTACAGGCGTGCGCCACCACACCTGGCTAATTTTTATATTTTTAGTAGAGACAGGGTTTCACCATGTTGGCCAGGGTGGTCATGTTGGCCAGGGTGGTCATGTTGGCCAGGGTGGTCTCGAACTCCTGACCTCAGGTGATCCGCCCGCCTCAGCCTCCCAAAGTACTGGGATTACAAGCGTGAGCCACCGCACCCAGCAAAAAACCCTTCTTTTAGGCTTATGCCACTAGACTGCATTACTTTCTACCTCTTAATCACTGTTATTTAACAACCTCCTGTTTCTATCACTTCACTGATCAAGAATGTTGGTACCTCGATATTCACCAGGCGTGGGGGCTCATGCCTGTAATCCCAATACTTTGGGAGGTCGAGGCGGACAGATCACTTGAGATAAGGAGTTTGAGACCAGCCTGGCCAACATAGTGAAACCCCATCTCTACTAAAAATACAAAAAAAAAAAAAAAAAAAAATTAGCCAGCGTGGTGGCACACGTCTGTAATCCTAGCTACTCAGGAGGCTGAGGTGGGAGGATTGCTTGAACCTGGGAGTTGGAGGTTGCAGTGAGCCAAGATCACAACTCTGCAGTCCAGCCTGGGTGACAGAGTAAGACTCTGTCTCAAAAAAAAAAAAAAAAAAAAAGAAAAGAAAGAAAAGAAAAAAAGAATTTTGGTACCTCAATGGTGAGGATTGGATGTGAGCCATCTCATCAGAAAAGTTTAGTGATTGAAGTTCCCTCCTTAACTCCCTGTAAGTTTTCTTTTCTTTTCTTTTCTTTTTTTTTTTTTTTACTCACAGTGTTCTCATAATGATCACTTTTTTAAATCCATATCATCCTTAACTTGTCTGCTTCCTTTAATTATTTTGTGAAATATTGGGCCGGGCACAGTGGTTCACGCCTGTAATCCCACCACTTTGGGAAGCCAAGGTGAGTGGATCATGAGGTTAGGCATTCGAGACCGGCCTGGCCAACATAGTGAAACCCCATCGCTACTAAAAATACAAAAAATTAGCCGGGCATGGTGGCGCACACCTGCAATCCCAGCAACTCAGGAGGCTGAGGCAGGAGAATTGCTTGAACTCGGAAGGCGGAGGTTGCAGTGAGCCACTCTGTGCCACTGCACTCCAGCCAGACTGTGCCCTGCACTCCAGCCTGGTGACAGAGTGAGACTCCATTTCAAAGAAAAAAAAAAAAAAAAAAAGGCTGGGCGCAGTGGCTCACGCCTGTAATTCCAGCACTTTGGGAGGCTGAGGCAGGTGGATCATGAGGTCAGGTGTTCCAGACCAGCCTGACCAACTTGGTGAAACCCCGTCTCTACTAAAAATACCAAAAAAAAAAAAAAAAAAATTAGCTGGGCGTGGTGTTGCACCCCTGTAGTCCCACCTACTCAGGAGGCTGAGGCAGGAGAATCGCTTGAACCCGGGAGGCAGAGGTTGCAGTGAGCCAAGATCACACCACTGCACTCCAGTATGGGCAACAGAGCAAGACTGTCTCAAAAAATTTTGTGAAATATTGCAGAGGATATTTAAACTGAACAGTCTTTTTTTTTTTTTTTTTTTTAGACAGAGTCTCTCTCTATCACCTAGGCTGGGTGCAGTGGCACAATCACAGCTCACTGCAGCCTCAAACTCATGGGCTCAAGTGATCCTCCCAACTCTGCCTGCTGAGTAGCTGGGACCACAGGCATACACCACCGCACCTGGCTAATTTTTAAAATTTTTGGGCCAGGTGCGGTGGCTCACGCCTGTAATCCCAGCACTTTGGGAGGCCAAGGTGGGTGGATCACGAGGTCAGGAGATTGAGACCATCCTGGCTAACACGGTGAAACCCCATCTCTACTAAAAATACAAAACATTAGCCGGGCGTGGTGGCAGGCGCCTGTAGTCCCAGCTACTCGGGAGGCTGAGGCAGGAGAATGGCATGAACCTGGGAGGTGGAGCTGCCAGTAAGCTGAGATCATGCCACTGCACTCCAGCCTGGGCGACAGAGTGAGACTCCGTCTCAAAAAAAAAAAAAAAAAATTTGTAGGAATGGGGTCTCCCTATGTTGCCCAGGCTGGTCTCAAACTCCTGGGCTCAAGCAGTCCTCCCACCTCAGTCTCCCAAAGTTCTGGGTATACAGGCATGAGCCACTGCACCTGGCCTGAACTAAAGTCTTGGTAAGGCTTTATTCTATTGTCATTCATGTCATTTCAACGGCTTTCATTTTTTTGACTTAACTTTGATCTCAACGTCTCTAGGAATCGAAGTCAACTATGAAAATGATTTTTATTGTGGGTAATGGTAAAAAAGAGAGAGAGGCCGGGCACGGTGGCTCATGCCTGTAATCCTAGCACTTTGGGAAGCTGAGGTGGGTGGATCTCTTGAGGTCAGGAGTTCGAGACTATCCTGGCCAACATGGTGAAACCCTGTCTACTAAAAATATGAAAATTAGCCAGGCATGGTGGCACGTACCTGTAATCCCAGCTACTCGGGAGGCTGAGGCAGGAGAATTGGTTGAACCTGGGAGGTGGAGGTTGCAGTGAGCCGAGATCGCACCACTGCATTCCAGCCTGGGAGACAGAGCGATACTCTGTCTAAAAAAAAAAAAAAAAAAAAAAGGGTCACGGGGCTGGGCGCGGTGGCTCACCCCTATAATCCCAGCACTTTGGGAGGCCGACGCAGGCAGACTGCTTATGCCCAGCAGTTTGAGACCAGCCTGGGCAACGTGGCAAAACGCTATCTCTATAAAAATACAAAATTAGCAGGGCATGGTGGCGCATGCCTATAGTCCCAGCTACTCAGGAGGCTGAGGTGGGAGGATCAGTTGATCCCCGGGAGGCAGAGGTTGCAATGAGCCAAGATTGTACCACTGCACTCCAGCATGGGTGACAGAGTGAGACCCTGTCTCAAAAATAAAATAAAATAATAATGATAATAATTTTTAAAAATAATTTTTTTTGAAACGGAGTCTCGGTCTGTTGCCTAGGCTGGGGTGCAGAGGCGCGATCTCTACTCACTATAACCTCCATCTCCCAGGTTCAAGTGATTCTCGCACTTCAGCCTCCCGAGTAGCTGGTATTACAAGCGTGTGCTACCACGCCCAGCTAATTTTTGTAATTTTAGTAGAGACGGAGTTTGCTGTGTTGGCCAGGCTGGTCTCTAACTCCTGACCTCAAGAGATCTGCCTGCCTTGGCCTCCCAAAGTGCTGGGATTACAGGCGTGAGCCACCACACCCGGCCAAAAAAATTATTTAAGTATGCAGTAAACTCAAAGTCTGTGTGGACTCTATTTGCAGGGTATGCTTTTTCCAAGCCAGATTTGATCACATGGATGGAACAAGGGAGAATGCTATTAATCAGCGAACAGGGATGCTTAGATAAAACAAGAAGGACAACTAGCCCTCCTACTGATGAACAGTTGAACATGAAGAATACTGGAAAGTTGCTATGTTTTGGTGAGTAAGATGGATTTAAGATCATGAATTATTTTATTTTCCTAGCCTTGTTTCCTGAATCTTTCTTTTTGGATATCTGACTAGATCTAGTCAATAAAAAAAGTTGTTTTGATGGAGAATGTTAGTTTTCTTTACTCAAGAGGGTAGCAAATGTGGGCTGGGCGTGGTGGCTCATGCCTGTAATCTCAGCACTTTAGGAGGCTGAGGTGGGTGGATCACCTGAGGTCAGGAGTTCCAGACCAGCCTGGCCAACATGGTAAAACCCCATCTCTACTAAAAATACAAAAAAATTAGCTGGGCGTGGTGGCAGGCACCCACAATCCCAGCTACTCTGGAGGCTGAGGCAGGAGAATTGTTTGAACGTGGGAGGCGGAGGTTGTGGTGAGCCAATGTCATGCCATTGCACTCCAGCCTGGGAGACAGAGCGAGACTCCATCTCAAAAAAAGAGAGGGTAGCAAATGTGAGACTGTATTATGTATTACTCTCATACAGAAAGTTTTATATAGATATATAATTTTTTTTTTTTTTTTTTTTTTTTTTTTTTTAGACAGAGTCTTGCTCTGTCACCCAGGGTGGAGCCCAACTGTGCAATCTCGGCTCACTGCAACCTCTGCCTCCCGGGTTCCAGGGATTCTCCTTCCTCAGCCTCCAGAGTAGCTGGGACTACAGATGCCTGCCACCACACCTGGCTAATTTTTTTGTATTTTTAGTAGAGAAGGGGTTTCACCATATTGGCCAGGCTGGTCTCAAACTCCTGACCTTGTGATCCATCCAACTCGGCCTCCCAAAGTGCTGGGATTACAGGCATGAGCCACCGCGCCCGACACCCGGCTAATTTTTTGTATTTTTAGTAGAGACAGTGTTTCGCCATATTGGCCAGTCTGGTCTCAAACTCCCGACCTCAAGTGATCCACCCATTTGCTCTTCCAAAGTGCTGGGATTATAGACGTGAGCCACCATGCCTGGTGTGGTGATATATGTTATTTAAAAAAAAACAAATCCTGGGAAGAAGATGACAATTCCTTGTAAAGGGCAAGGGATGGCCGGGCGTGATGGCTCATGCCTGTAATCCTAGCACCTTGGTAGGTCAAGGCGGGTGGATCACCTGAGGTCAGGGGTTCGAGACCAGCCTGGCCAACATGGCGAAACCCCCTCTCTACTAAAAATACAAAAATTAGCCGGGGGTGTTGGCGCATGCCTGTAATCCCAGCTACTCGCGAGGCTGAGGCAGGAGAATTGCTGGAATGCAGGAGGCGGAGTTTGCAGTGAGCCGAGATTGCACCACTGCACTCCAGCCTGGGCGACAGAGTGGGACTCCGTCTCAAAAAAAAAAAAAAAAGAACAAGGGATCCATTTGTCAAAACCCTGAGAGGAAAAACCACTCCTTGTCACACTGTCATGTCCATTTGAATATACAGAAATGAAAAACCCTGTAATTTTGTACAAAATTTTTTTTATTATACAGAACTTTAAAACTTGGGTTTTTAAAACTCCTTTTGAATTCCTTGTGACATAAGGGAGTATTTCACTTTTTATAGTGCGCGAATGCTTTTCTTTTTTTTTTTTTTGTGAGATGGAGTCTCACTCTGTCGATGAGGCTGGAGTGCAGTGGCACCGTGTGGGCTCACTGCAACCTCCATCTCCTGGGTTCAAGCAATTCTCCTGCCTCAGCCTCCTGAGTAGCTGGGATTACAGGCACCCACAACCACGCCTGGCTAGTTTTTATATTTTTAGTAGAGATGGGGTTTCACCATGTTGGCCAGGCTGGTCTCGAACTCCTGACCTCAGGTGATCCACCCACCTCGGCTTCCCAAAGTGCTGGGATTACAGGCGTGAGCTACCGTGCCCGGCTGCACAAATGCTTTTCTAGGTTCTTGGGAGTCAAGGAATCCTCTGAAGCAGGAGACTTTGAGGCCAGGAAGTGTGTCCAAGCCCCATCAACAGGATAAAAGAATTTCCTGGTCAGGCGCGGTGACTCACGCCTATAATCTCAGCACTTTGGGAGGCTGAGGAGGTCGGATCACATGAGGTCAGGAGTTCGAGACCAGCCTTGCCAATATCATGAAACCCGTTTCTACTGAAAATACAAAAATTAGTCAGGTGTGGTGGCAGGCTCCTGTTATCCCAGCTACTCAGGAGGCGGAGGCAGGGGAATTGGTTGAGCCCTGGAGGCGGAGGTTGCAGTGAGCCAAGATTGCGCCATTGCACTCCAGCCTGGGTGACAGAGCGAGACTCTGTCTCCAAAAAAAAAAAAAAGAAAAAGAAAATAAATAAAGAATTATCAAGGGTTTCATTTCATTGACACTGTCTATTCATTCACTCATCTAACCAATATCGAGTGCCTCCCACAGTCACAGGAGTACGTTAGGCGAGGGCAAAAACTTTATATAATGTATGTGTATGTATACATATGAATAAAACAATTGTTATATTCTAGATGTTGATCGTCTTACTGACATGGCAATTAAGTTAGCCAATTATATTGAACTATACATAGTTGAATTAGTCAACTATAAAATAAGATTGCATATGACTTAATAAAATATTAAGTAATCCCTAATTCTGTGCTATAGGGATTTAGAGGAGAAGGAGCGGAGGAGAGAGAGCAATATCCCAGGAGGACTCTAAAAGGAATTAGGATATAAATAGCAAAAAATGGGCAGATTTGGTTAGAGAAAGAAGAATCAGTAGGGGTCATACATGAACTGAAGCTCAAAGACAGGAACAAATCTATTACATTTAGAAAACAGAGAAGACTAGGCTGGGTGCCGTGGCTCATGCCTGTAATCCCAGCACTTTGGGAGGCTGAGGAGGGTGGATCACGAGGTCGAGAGATCGAGACCAGCCTGGCTAACATGGTGAAACCCCTATCTCTACTAAAAATACAAAAATTAGCCAGGCGTGGTGGCAGCTGCCTGTAGTCCCAGCTACTGAGGAGGGTGAGACAGGAGAATGGCGTGAACCCGGGAGGCGGAGGTTGCAGTGAGCCAAGATCGCGCCACTGCACTCCAGCCTGGCAACAGAGCGAGACTCCGTTTCAAAAAAAAAAAAAAAGAAAGAAAAAAGAAAACAGAGAAGACACCAACCTGCCTGTAACTGAATGTTACTCTCTTGGGACATAGTGGGACATGGGAGGAAAAACATAAATTGGTGTTAGACGACGTGAGGCCAGGATTGCCAAGGTGGAAAGTTTGACTTCATCCTATAGAATGGGAGGAGCTTGGGAAGATTTTTATTTTTTTTCTTAGACAGAGTCTTGCTATGTCACCAAACTGGAGTGCAGTGGTGCAATCTCAGCTCACTGCAACTTCCACCTCCCGGATTCAAACGATTCCCCTGCCTCAGCCTCCCGAGTAGCTGGGACTACAGGCACACTCCACCATGCCCGGCTAATTTTTTGTATATTAGTAGAGATGGGGTTTCACCGTGTTAGCCAGGATGGTCTCCATCTCCTGACCTCGTGATCCACCCACCTCAGCCTCCCAAAGTGCTGGGATTACAGGCGTGAGCCACCACACCCAGTCCTGGAAGGATTTTTGAGTACCAAAGAGTTAACAACTTTGGTAGCTATCCCTAAAAATAAATGTTGTTCCCTTAGTACAAGGTGGTGCTCAGCCAATAATCACAGCTGCTCGTCTGCCTGGGTTAAATAGTAAAAGCATGTTTTTAGGAAGATTTAACTTCCAGTGATGAGGAAGGGGATTCAAGGTAAATATACTTTCATCACAATCCAGGCAAAAGGTATTAGTGTTAACTTACTAAATCATATGATCATGTTGAAAACATCACCTGTGTTGTCCTTAAGGTGACCACAGAGCATAATGAGAGTCCTCTGGGGGCAGTGTCACTTGGGTTTCCTCCCAGGTTAGGAGATTAAAAAATGCCAACATGGTGAAACTCTGTCTCTACTAAAAATACAAAAATTAGCCGGGCGTGGTAGTGGGTACCTGTAGGCTGAGAGTTTGCTCAGGTACAGTGGCTCATGCCTGTAATCCCAGCACTTTGTGAGGCTGAGGCAGGAAGATTAGTTGAAGCCAGGAGTTTGAGACTAGCCTGGGCAACATAACAAGACCCCATCTCTACAAAAAATAAAAAAAATTAGCTGAGCATGATGGTGTGTGCCTGTAGTCCCAGCTACTTGGAGGTAGGGGCTAACGTTGGAGGATCACTTGAGCCCTGGAGGTCAAGGCTGCAGTGAAATGTGATCATGCCACTGCACTCTAGCCTGGGCAGCAACATAGTGAGACCTAGCTCAAAAATAAATAAATAAATAAATAAATAAATAAATAAATAAATAAATGGGAGAGAGTTCCATTATCCAGTTCGACAAGACTTTGGAGGAAAAGCAGTTCTGAAATATAATGGCTTAAGTGAATATCTGCAATGGTCCTTTCCAGATCTAGTGGGTAATAATGATAACTCAGGTTCCTCTATTTCCTGTCATCATGTCTTCTACTTTGGGAACAGTAGTGATTATGCTATATAAATATATCATTCTTGGCCAGGCGCGGTGGCTTATGCCTGTAATCCCAGCACTTTGGGAAGCCAAGGCGGGCAGATCACAAGGTCAGGAGATCGAGACCATCCTGGCTAACATGATGAAACCCCGTCTCTACTAAAAATACAAAAAATTAGCCGGGCGTGGTGGTGGGCGCCTGTAGTCCCAGCTACTCAGGAGGCTGAGGCAGGAGAATGGCATGAACCCGGGAGGTGGAGCTTGCAGTGAGCAGAGATCGCGCTACTGCACTCCAGCCTGGGCGACAGAGCTAGACTCTGTCTCAGAAAAAAAATAAATAAATAAATAAATAAATAAATAAATAAATCATTCTTATAATGCAGAGTTTTTTGGAAAAGGAAAAAAATTCTACAGTGTTATTTGTGAATTCAGTAAGCTGTCATTTTTATATTCCTAAGAAAAATATTTTCTATTAGCATTTCTTCCAGAAAATCTTTCCTGAAATCTCTGGTAGAAGGGAGACAAGAATATGGCCCTAAGCTGTCCTCCTTAAAAATTTTTTTTTTTTTTTTTTTGAGACAGTCTCACTTTGTCACCCAGGCTGGAGTACAGTGGTGTGATCTCAGCTCGCTACAACCTCCGTCTCCTGGGTTCAAGAGATGCTCCTGCCTCAGCCTCCCGAATAGCTGGGACTACAGGCGCACATAACCACACCCAGCTAATCTGTGTATTTTTAGTAGAGACAGGGTTTCACCATATTGACCAGGCTGGTCTCCAACTCCTGACCTCGTGATCTGCCCACCTCAGCCTCCCAAAGTGCTGGGATTACAGGTGTGAGCCACTGCGCCTGGCCACCTCTTTAAATATTTGCCATTTATTTCATAGATGTAATGGTATAGTCAGATGATCAGAGTAACTCATTTTCACTGTCTCCAACTTCTGCTTACCCTATAGTTCACAAGATGTGAACTATGAATTTCAATTTGCTTGCAATTTTTTTCATGCTAAGTTATTTCTTAACACATGGTGAAAAGAATATAAAAGTTAAATATGATTTACCTGCAGGAGGCAGATTGACAAAGTCATTGAGATCAGTGGGATTCCCTTTTCTACTTTGTTAGTGACATGAAGACAGTCCTTGAATGGCTAGGCACGGTGGCTCATGCCTGTAATCCCAGCACTTTGGGAGGCCAAGGTGGGTGGATTGTTTGAGGTCAGTTTGAGACAAGACTGGCCAACATGCTGAAACCCTGTCTCTACTAAAAATACAAAACATTAGCTGGGTATGGTGGTGGATAGTCCCAGCTACTCAGGAGGCTGAGGCACAAGAATTGCTTAAACCAGGGAGGCAGAGGTTGCAGTGAGCCGAGATCACGCCACCGCACTCTAGCCTGGGCAACAGAGTGAGACTGTCTCAAAAAATTTTAGGCCAGGCATGGTGGCTCATGCCTGTAATCCCAGCACTTTGGGAGGCTGAGGTGGGTGGATCAGGAGGTCAGGAATTCAAGACCAGCCTGGCCAAGATGGTGAAACCCTGTCTCTATTAAAAATACAAAAATTAGCCAGGCGTGGTGGTGGGTGCCTGTAATCCCAGCTACTCAGGAGGCTGAGGCAGAGAATTGCTTGAACCCAGGAGGTGGAGGATGCAGTGAGCCAGGATTGTGCCACTGCACTCCAGCCTGGGCGACAGAGTAATACTCCGTCTCAAAAAAAAAAAAAAAAGGAAAAAAATTTTTTTTAAAAAAGGCCAAGCGCGGTGGCTCACGCCTGTAATCCCAGCACTTTGGGAGGCCGAGGCAGTGGATCACGAGGTCATCCTGGCTAACATGGTGAAACCCCGTCTCTACTAAAAATACAAAAAATTAGCCGGGCGTGGTGGCGGGCGCCTGTCGTCCCAGCTACTTGGGAGGCTGAGGCAGTAGAATGGCGTGAACCCGGGAGGCGGAGCTTGCAGTGAGCCGAGATCGCACCACTGCAATCCAGCCTGGACAACAGAGCGAGACTCTATCGCAAAAAATAATAATAATAATAATAAATTTTTAAAAGACAGTCCTTGAACCCATTTATAGGGTAGACATATCACTGATGAGAGTGATACTTCTTTCTGCTCCAGATGACGAAGGAACTCCCAGGACAAAAGAAGAGGATTGCCGTTTAAATGGTCCTCAAAAACAGGACTTGTGTGCTGCCTTACGAGGGAAAGAGAGAAAGATTTTATTAGCTCAAACAGCCACCTTCCAGTCTCCAAGTCTCCGAGAAACAGAGATTCTAAATAAAAAAGTCAGCATCACAGCATATGATCCAGACAAGAAAGACCTGCGGCATAAGCCTCGGGAGACCCCAGGGCGCTTAGAAATTCCCACAGGGCCAAGATGCTATTCCTGCTATGTCTGTAGGAAAGTCTTCCAAGTAAGGAGGGATTTGCTAAAGCACAAACGGAGCCACTCCAAGAGCCAGCTCTGCAGATACCCAAAGTACAAAAACTCGTCCAGAGGGAAGTCCGAACTCAGGCGGACGCAGAGGCTCCTGTGTCAGAAGAAGCGGTTCCAGTGCAGTGAGTGTGAGAAGAGCTACTTCCTGAAGGGCAGCCTCGTCACTCATCAGGTTGTCCACACCGGCCAGCGGCCCTACCCATGCCCTGAGTGCGACAAGACCTTCCGGTACAGGGCCAACCTGAAGAAGCACCTGTGTCTACACCGCGGGGAGCGGCCGTTCTGCTGCGGGGAGTGCGGCCGGGCCTTCGTGCAGCAGTGCGAGCTCACGGAGCACTTGCGGCTGCACAGCGGAGAGAAGCCCTTCCAGTGTCCGCAGTGTGACCGGTGCTTCCGCCTGAAGAGGGGCATGAAGGTCCATCTGACCCAGCACAGCGGGAAGAGGCCCTTCCACTGTCCCGAGTGTGGCCGGAGCTTCTCCCGGAAGGCTGCCCTGAAGACCCACCAGAGGACGCACAGCGAGGAAAAGCCGTTTTCTTGTGGTGAATGTGGCAGGAAATTCATCTACAAGATTAAGCTGGACGAGCACATCAGAGTTCACACGGGAGAGAAGCCCTTTTCGTGTCCCGAGTGTAACAAAAGTTTCCGCCTCAAGAGAAGCCTGAAAGCCCACGGGCTGCAGCACATTGGGAAGCGGCCCTTCCAGTGCCCGGAGTGCAGCAGGGGCTTCTTCTGGAGGAACGCCATGCGCGCCCACCAGCGCCTGCACAGCGAGCAAAAGCCCTTCCCCTGCGCCGAGTGCGGCAAGCGCTTCACGCGGCCTTCCAAGCTCGCCTGCCACACCAGAGTCCACGACAGGCAGAAGGAGTTTCCCTGCGGCGAGTGCAAAAAGACCTTTTCTCAGCAGTCGCGGCTCACGCAGCACCTGAAGGTCCACACCACGGAAAAGCCGTTCTCCTGCGCCGAGTGCGGCCGCAGTTTCCGCCGACGCGCGCATCTCACAGAGCACACGAGGCTTCACAGTGGCGAGGAGCCCTTCCAGTGTCCCGAGTGCGACAAGAGCTTCTCCTGGAAGGCCTCCATGAAGTTCCACCAGCGGATGCACAGGGACGAGAAGCCCTTCGCGTGCGGTGAGTGTGACAAGACCTACACGCATCAGTCTCAGCTCACCGAGCACCTGAGGCTGCACAGTGGAGAGAAGCCCTACCAGTGTCCTGAATGCGAGAAGACTTTCCGCCTCAAGGGAAACCTGAAAAGCCACCTGCTGCAGCACAGTGGCCAAAAGCCATTCTCTTGTGTGATGTGCGGCAAAAGTTTCACTCAACAGTACCGGCTCACAGAACACATTCGAGTCCACAGCGGGGAGAAGCCCTTCCAGTGTCCGGAGTGTGACAAGAGCTACTGCATCAGGGGCAGCTTGAAGGTCCACTTGTATAAGCACAGTGGAGAGAGGCCCTTCCAGTGTCCCGAGTGTGGCAAAGGCTTCCTCCAGAAGAGAAGCCTGAAGGCCCATCTGTGCCTTCACAGTGGGGAGAGGCCTTTTTCTTGTGATGAGTGTGGAAGGAGCTTCACGTACGTGGGGGCGCTCAAGACCCACATTGCAGTGCATGCCAAAGAGAAGCCCTCCAGCCTCTAGGTCAGGCCATGCAGCAGTCACGCAGTCGGCTTTCAGGAGGTGCCAGCAGCTCTGTTGGCTCAAGTTGAGGCAGGTTGAAGGATTCACAGGGTAAGATCGGGCACAGTGGCTCCCGCCTGTAATCCCATTACTTTGGGAGGCCCAGGTGGGAGGATCGCTTGAGCCCAGAAGTTTGAGACCAGCCTAGGCAACATTGCAAGACTCCATCTCTACAAAAAATATAAAAGTCAGCCAGGCGTTGTGGTGCATGCTTGTGGTCCCAGCTACTTTGGGAGGTTGAGGCAGGAGGATCGCTTGAGCCCAGGAGGCAGAGGCTGCAGTGAGCCATGCTCACACCACTGCACTCCAGCCTGGGTGACAGAGCAAGATCTTGTCTCAAAAAAGAAAAAAAATCACAAAATACTGGCTACAGACACACTGGACAGGTGTGTGGTCTGCAGAACTCTATGGCTCCTTGACAAAAGTTCCAAATAATCCATAGACAGTCAAAGAGACATCTCCCTCAATAATCGTCATAGGAAAGACGTGCCAGTTGTGGAGGAAACATTCACACTGATCTGCTAGTCCAACGATCTCTTCAGTGTCATCCAATAATCCCTTCATTAAATTCAGAAACTACAGCCTGAGTGAAGAAATGTTACAGCCAGGAACATATTCCTCAGTCAGCTTTTCCATTACCAGGCCATTTTACTTAAATCTGTATTAAAGTCTTCAGTTTTCTCTCATAGTGGATTTTCATTTTCTCTCAGATGGTGAGAGGGCTTCTGTTTCTTGGAATGTTTCCATATTGCTAAAAATAAATGTCTTCCACTATCTCATTTGTTAAAATGATTACCCATGTGTTCTTTCCTTCTGAATTTTACTTAAATCACCTAAAAGTCCACCACTGTGAGTAACAGGCAGTGTTATTTATCTAACCCCTCTGCATTTTCAACAGTGTTATGTCAGTTCTCAAAGAACTATACTTAACATTAGGGTCTCTGAGGAAAATACCAAAGGATAAAATACTGTCAGTCCACAGCACCACTATTTTTTTTTTGCCCTGTCGCCTAATCTAACATTATAAGATTTTCCAGGCTATTCTGGCAAACCCTCATCTGTCTCTCAGACTGTCAATCTTTGACATTACTCGTTTTTTTTTTTTCTTGAGATGGAATCTCGCTCTGTCACCAAGGCTGGAGTGCAGGGGCGCCATCTCAGATCACTGCAAACTCCACCTCCTGTGTTCAAGTGATTCTCCTGCCTCAGCCTCCCGAGTAGCAGGGACTACAGGCGTCTGCCACCACTTCTGGCTAATTTTTTGTATTCTTAGTAGAGACGGGGTTTCACCATGTTAGCCAGGATGGTCTCCATCCCCTGACATCCGTGATCCGCCCACCTCGGCCTTCCAAAGTGCTGGGATTACAGGTATGAGCCACCGCACCCAGCCTTTGACATTACTGTTAGGATAACTTACAGCCTTCCTTAGGAAATTTGAGTACCTTCATAAATTTTGTGTGTGTTGCACAAAACATGGTCCCCAGTTACCGAAGTCAGAATCTGCTGGGATCAAAGTCGCTACAAGAATCACAGCGTCGGCCGGGCGCAGTGGCTCACACCTGTAATCCCAGCACTTTGGGAGGCCAAGACGGGCAGATCACGAGGTCAGGAGATCAAGACCATCCTGGCTAACACGGTGAAAACCCGTGTTAAAATACAAAATACAAAAAATTAGCCGGGCGTGGTGGCGGGTGCCTGTAGTTCCAGCTACTCGGGACGCTGAGGCAGGAGAATGGTGTGAATTCGGGAGGCGGAGCTTGCAGTGAGCCGAGATCTCACCACTGCACTCCAGCCTGGAGGACAGAGCGAGACTCTGTCTCAAAAAAAGGAAAAAAGAATCACAGCATCTATACAAAGAGGAAAAAGGTGCCGCCTGTGTTTGGGACAGTCCTGTGGGTAGGGAATAGGCTGCTATTTATGTGGTACACCTCAAAAAACAAAACTAAAGTGCCAGTGATCAGATAAATGAAATGCCAACAGTTTAACAGGTAGATTCAGAACTAAAAATAAAATAATGTGAAAATAAAGACATTTTTAAAAAATGCTTTTCAGAAAGAGTTTTAAAAGATAATGGGTGAGGCACGGTGGCTCATGCCTGTAATCTGAGCACTTTGGGAGGCCAAGGTGAGTGGATCACCTGAGGTCAGGAATTTGAGACCAGCCTGGCCAACATGGCGAAACCCCATCTCTACAAAACTTAGAAAAATTAGCAGGGCATGGTGGTGTGCACCTGTAGTCCCAGCTGCTTGGGGGCTGAGGTGGGAGGATTGCTTGAGCCCAGGTGGTTAAAGCTGCAGTGAGCCATGTTTGCACCACTGCACTCCAGCCTGGGTGACAGAGTGAGACCCTATCTCTAAACAAATGAAAATAATAATAATAATAATGAGTACCCCACAGTACCACATGCTGCAGAAAGAGGTCAAAGAAGAAGTTAAAGGATTATAAATGTCAGTGAGAGATATTACCCTGAGTGGCTGAAGCAAAAGCATGGGGCTGAGTAGAACACAGAAGAGAAGGGGCAGTTCCATGACGTAGTTCAGAAAGCACAGGGCTTAGAGTAAGTCCCACAAAATAAAACAGACCCTCGCTCTGGCCTTGGGCAAGACACTAGAGCTCTGTAAGTTTTACTTTCTCCATTTAATATAATGGTGAGGGGAGGGTACCTTTATGAAAATCAGCCACATCTACAAAAATAAATGCTGTTTTTCAGCTATACTGGTAACACAGGCATTCTCTAGTATGAGTTAGGTGATGGATTGCAGTACATGGAGTGGCCTACAGAATCACTCCCAGTCCACACATGGGGGACTGGCACAGAAACAGCAATAAGGAGTGCTTCTGAGGTCAAACCGAGGCAGGAATTAGGAGAAGAAAGTGACCAAGTGCAGGTAGAGAATGGGGAGGAGCTGAGAACAAGGAGGAGGGGTAGCTTTAAGAAAGGAGAGACTAGGCGCCATGGCTCATGCCTGTAATCCCAGCACTTTGGGAGGCTGAGGCGGGCGGATCACGAGGTCAAGAGATGGAGCCCATCCTGGCCAATATGGTGAAACCCCGTCTCTACCAAAAATACAAAAATTTGCTGGGCTGGTGGCACGCGCCTGTAGTCCCAGTTACTCAGGAGGCTGAGGCAGGAGAATCGCTTGAACTCGGGAGGCAAGGGTGGCAGTGAGCTGAGATCGTGCCACTGCACTCTAGCCTGGTGACAGAGGGAGACTCTCAAAAAAAAAAAAAAAGAAAGAAAGGAGAAAGGGCAGGGCGCGGTGGCTCACGCCTGTAATCCCGGCACTTTGGGAGGTCGAGGCAGGTGGATCACCTGAGGTCAGGAATTTGAGACCAGCCTGGCCAACATGGTAAAACCCTGTCTCTAGTAAAAATACAAAAAATTAGCTGGGCGTGGTGGCAGGCACCTGTAATCCCAGCTACTCGGGGGGCTGAGGCAGGAGAATGCTTGAACCCAGGAGGCGGAGGTTGCAGTGAGCCGAGATCGCGCCATTGCACTCCAGCCAGGGCAGCAAGAGCGAAACTGCGTCTCAAAGAAAAACAAACAAAAAACAAGAAAGGAGAAAGGAACTGTGGTAAGCATTACCTGGAACTTCCCAGATGCTCATGCTTATCAGGAGCCAAGTAGAAGTTTCTATCTAAGCTGTCTTTGCCCCCAAATCTGGTCACCTAAGTAAGGGAGTATAAATTGTTTCATGACCAGTACTCAGATTCTGGAAATAAAGGCCAAGTTAATAATGGACACTATAATGTGAGGATGAACATGAGATTATGAATGTGAAATACATAGTGTCTAGTCAAGAGTAGGCATTCAGGGCTCGGCACGGTGGCTCATGCCTGTAATCCCAGCACGTTGGGAGGCCGAGATGGGTGGTTCACTTGAGGGCAGAAGGTCGAGAGCAGCCTGGCCAACATGGGAAAACCCTGTCTCTACTACAAATACAAAAATTATCCGGGCGTGATTGCATGCACCCATAGCCCCAGCTACTCGAGATGCTAAAATGGGAGAATCACTTGAACCCAGGACGGAGGTCACAGTGAGCTGAGATCATGCCACTGCACTCTAGCCTGGGTGACAGAGCAAGATCCTGTCTCAAAAAAAAAAGAGTAGGCATTCAGTAAGATGTAACCCCATGTTATGAACGGAATCATGTCCCCTCCCCTTTCCAAATTCACAGGTTGAATCCCTAACCCCCAGTGTGACTGTAAGATCAACATGACACCTTTACTAGTCATAAAACTAACACAGGAGAGCCCAGCGTGCACATGACCTGAGCAAAGTGGGTGAGGAGGCAGAGGCTGCAAGTGCTGTGCTCACGGAGCTCCCCCTCAGTGGAGAGGAACACCAAGAATGAGGGAGAAGCGCGCCCACCTCCAAAACCAGCAGCAAGCTATGGCTGTTTGTGTGCGTGACTATTTGGCTGTCCCTAGCTGCATCTGGTACAGCCATCTCTTCTGTTACCACATATGTGCTAATGACTTTCAAATCTATAAATCCATATTTTCAACTTGTGCCATGAACATCTCAAACACAAAATGCCCCAAGTAAGACTTGTCACCTGTATCAACCCTCACTCTACCCCCGTTGTTGTTGTTGTTGTTATTGTTGTTTGAGACGGAGTCTCGCTCTGTCGCCCAGGCTGGAGTGCAGTGGCGTCATCTCGGCTCACTGCAAGCTCTGCCTCCCGAATTCACGCCATTCTCCTGCCTCAGCCTCCCGAGTAGCTGGGACTACAGGCACCCGCCACCACGCCTGGCTAATTTTTTTGTGTTTTTAGTAGAGACGGGGTTTCACCGTGTTAGCCAGGATGGTCTCGATCTCCTGACCTCGTGATCTGCCCATCTCGGCCTCCCAAAGTGCTGGGATTACAGGCGTGAGCCACCACGCCCGGCCGTTTTTTTTTTTTTGTTTTGTTTTGTTTTGTTTTGAGACAGAGTCTCGTGCTGTCACCCAGGCTGGAGTGCAGTGGCGCGATATCGGCTCACTGCAAGCTCTGCCTCCCAGGTTCAAGCAATTCTCCTGCCTCAGTCTCCCGAGTAGCTGAGACTACAGGCGCCCGCCACCACGCCCAGCTTATTTTTTTTTTATTTTTTATTTTTTTGGTATTTTTAGTAGAGGCAGGGTTTCACCATGTCAGGCTCGTCTCGAACTCCTGACCTCAAATGATCCGCCTGCCTCAGCCTCCCAAAGTGCTGGGATTATAGGCATGAGCCACTGTGCCCGGCCTCTACCCTTCTTTGTTAGACTGTTCTGTATTTCCTACCTCTGTATACTAAATCTACCTCATCTCCAAAGTTATAAATCTGATGATGCACCTAGGTTTTCTTACACCCAATCTAGCATCTAGCTCCTGATTCTTCCCAAACAAGATCCTTTCTCGCTATCTCTGTTGTTACTACTTGAAGCTCACTTTATTTATTTATTTATTTATTTAATAGTGTTTTCCTTGACAGGTTTCCTTGCTTCTGGCTTTTTTCCTCCAGTACATTTATCATCCATCTGCCAGATGGGTTCTTCTAAAATGCAATTCTAACATTGGTCCCTTCAAGAAATACTTAGAAGTTTCCCATTTTGGCCGGGCGCGGTGGCTCATGCCTGTAATCCCAGCACTTTGGGAGGCCGAGACGGGCGGATCACTCGAGGTCAGGAGTTCAAGAGCAGTCTGGCCAACGTGGTGAAACCCCGTCTCTACTAAAAATACAAAAATTAGCCAGGCATGGTGGCACATGCCTGTAGTCCCAGCTACTTGGGAGGCTGAGGTGGGAGAATTGCTTCAACCCGGGAGGTGGAGGTTGCAGTCAGCTGAGATCACGCCATTGCACTCCACCCTGGGCAACAGAGCAAGACTGTCTCAAAAAAAAAAAGAAGAAGTTTCCCATTTTATTATAAATGCATTCTTTAATAAGACCTAGAAAAGGCCGGGCACGGTGGCTCACGCCTGTAATCCCAGCACTCTGGGAGGCCGAGATGGGCAGATCACGAGGTCAGGAGATTGAGACCATCCTGGCTAACACGGTGAAACCCCGTCTCTACTAAAAATACAAAAAATTAGCCGGGCGAGGTGGCGGGACCTAGAAGAACCTGTGAGCTGACCCTGACCTGCCGCTTCAGTTTGACCTTCACAATGTGAGCCTCAGCCTCATCGCACAGCATGTATCTTTCTCAAGTGCATTATATTCTCTCATGACTCTCGTCTGTCTGGAATGCCTTCCCTCCCTCACATCACCTCCCTCACATTCCATGATTCAGTCCAGAGAAAAGGAATGTTTTAGCTATATGCTTGTCTCTTCTCCCAGCACCTCTAAATTCCTTCCTCTAAAGCACTCCCCACTGAAACTCTGTCTGCTTCCCCTCATAGCCTGAACCCCTGGAGGGCATCTGTATGCTCTTGTTTTTGCATTTTCTCCACTTAACACACACCTGACATAGAAGACATTCTAGGGCTAAGCGTGGTGGCACACCCAGTTACTTGAGAGGCTGAGGTGAGAGGGTCGCTTGAGCTCAGGAGGTTGAGGCCAGCCTGGAGGACATAGCAAGAGCCCGTTTCTAAAAGGAAGAAAAACAAGACATTCTAGAAATTCTTCTTGAATGGTCAGAAGGAGCGATGAATTGGGTTTTGGGTACTGAGGATAGAAAGGATGGATATGAAAAAAAGGTAAAGAAGATTAAGCAGGGTTTGGTGACTGGGTCACATGAGGGAGAAATCAAACATTCTTGAAATCATGTCTTTCAGTCCCACTAGATGGGAAAGGAATGTATGTACATTTCAAAGCTGTCACAGGTGATTCTGACATGCTAATTTTGTATCATTACTCTTCCTCTCCCATTTTCTTTCCAAACAGTGAATTTGAGAAAAACCACTCAAAAATTTTTTTTTCTTTTTTCTTTTTTTTTCGAGATGGCTGTCACCCAAGCTGGAGTGCAGTGGCACAATCTTGTGCAGCTGTCACCCAAGCTGGAGTGCAGCATCACCCAAGCTGTCACTGTGTCACCCAAGTTGGAGTGCAGTGTGGCGCAATCTTGGCTCATTGCAACCTCTGCCTCCCGGGTTCAAGCGATTCTCCTGCCTCAGCCTCCTGAACAGCTGGGACTACAGGTGTGCACACCATGCCTGGCTACTTTTTGTATTTTTAGTAGAGACGGGGTTTCACCATGTTGGCCAGGCTGGTCTCGAACTCCTGACCTCAGGTGATCTGCCCACCTCGGCCTCCCAAAGTGCTGGGATTACAGGCATGAGCCACCACACCCGGCCTGCAGTTAAAATTTTATGTCTTCTTCCTAAAACTAAAGACTATTTCATAGTTAGGATTTTTGCTGGGTGGGGTGTTTCAAAGGTTTCTATTTGACATGTTCAGTTGTCAGTGCCCTGCACTGTAGGCTTTCTCTTTTATTTTATTTTTTAATTTTTTTTTTTATTTTTTGAGATGGAGTCTCACTCTGTCGCCTAGGCTGGAGTGCAGTGGCGTGATCTCGGCTCACTGCAACCTCCACCCTCCGAGTTCAAGCGATTCTCCTGCCTCAGCCTCCCAAGTAGCTGGGATTACGGATGCCTGCCACTGTGCCCGGCTAATTTTTTTTTGTATTTTTAGTAGAGACGGGGTTTCACCATCTTGGCCAGGCTGGTCTTGAACTCCTGATCTCGTGATCCACCCACCTCGGCCTCCCAAAGTGCTGGGATTACAGGCGTGAGCCACTGTGCCCGACCTCTCTTTTCTTTTTTAAATAGAGACAGGGTCTTGCCATGTTGCCCAGGCTAGTCTTGAACTCCTGGCCTCAAGTTATCCTCTGCTGCCTTCGCCTCCTAAAGTGCTGGGATTAAACCAGTGAAACATGAGGCACAGCCCACTGTAGGCTTTCTACTCCTTAGAACATCTGACAATACCAGCTACTATGGAGAATATGGAGCAACTAGAGTTCTCACACATTGCTGATGGGAATGCAAAACAGCATCATGCCATTCTAGAAAATGATTTGTTTCTTATAAATATGTACTTACTGAATGACCAGCAATCCCACTCTTGGGTATTTATCCTAGACAAATGAAAACCTCTGTTCACACAAAAACATGTACATGACATGGCCAGGTGTGGTGACTCACGCCTGTAATCCCAGCACTTTGGGAGGCCGAGGCAGGCGGATCGCGAGGTCAGGAGATCGAGACCATCCTGGCTAACATGGTGAAACCCTGTCTCTACTAAAAATACAAAAAAAAAAAAAAAAAAAAAAAAAAAAGTAGCCGGGCGTGGTGGCGGGCGCCTGTAGTCCCAGCTACTCTGGAGGCTGAGGCAGGAGAATGGCATGGACCTGGGAGGCAGAGCCTGCAGTGAGCCAAGATCGCGCCACTGCACTCCAGCCTGGCCTACAGAGCGAGACTCCATCTCAAAAAAAAAAGAAAAAAACACTTACATGAATGTTTGCAGCAGCTCCCTTCAGAATTGCTAAAATTTGGAACAATCCAAATGTCCTTTGATGAACGGTGGCTATACAAACTGTGATACATCCATAGTACTAATGCATTTTTTTCTTTTCTTTTGAGACAAAGTCTCCCTCTGTCGCCCAGGCTGGATTGCAGTGGTGTGATCTCCACTCACTACAACCTCTGCCTCCCGGGTTCAAGTGATTCTCCTACCTCAGCCTCACAAGCAGCTGGGACTACGGGCAGGCGTTATCACGCCTAGCTAATTTTTGTATTTTTAGTAGAGACAGGTTTTTGTCATGATGGCCAGGCTGGTCTGAAACTCCTGATCTCAAGTGATGCGCCCACCTCGGCCTCCCAAAGTGCTGGGATTACAGGAATGAGCCACTGTGCCTGGCCTGCATTTATTTTTCTTTTTGGAGACAGGGGTCTCGCTATATTGCCCAGGCTGGCCATGAACTCTTGGGCTTAAGGGATCCTCCCACCTCAGGATCCCTTGAGGGGACCTACAGGTGAGAGCCACTACAGCTGGTGCTCCTTAATAACATTGATACAGATAACAATGTGGATGAATCTCAAAGGTATAGTGAGTTGAAGTATGTTGTAAACTTTTATAAGTCTCAAAAGGTTACATACTGTATAATTCCGTTTATATGACATTCTTGAAAGGTAAAACTATAGGGACAGAAATAAATCAGCCCTTGCTAGGGGTTACAGATATAGGAAGGGAGGTGGATCAAAAGACATTACAAGATGGCTGGGCACAGTGGCTCTCACCTATAATCCCAGCACTTTGGGAGGCCCAGGCAGAGGATCACTTGAGGCCAGGATTTTGAGACCAGACTGGGAAACATAGCAAGACCCTGTCTCTACACTTTTTTTTCTTTTTTTTGAGACAGAGTCTTGCTCGGTTGCCCAGGCTGGAGTGCAATGGCGTGATCTTGGCTCAATGCAACCTCCGCCTCCTGGGTTCAAGTGATTCTCCCACCTCAGCCTTCCCAGTAGCTGGGATTACAGGCACCTGCCATTATGCCTGGCTAGTTTTGTTTTATTTTTTGAGATGGAGTCTCGCTCTGTTGCTCAGGCCAGAGTGCAGTGGCGTGATCTCGGCTCACTGCAACCTCCACCTCCAGGGTTCAAGTGATTCTTCTGCCCCAGCCTCCCGAGTAGCTAGGATTACAGGCGCGTGCCACCACGCCCGGCTAATTTTTGTATTTTTAGTAGAGACGGGGTTTCACCATGTTGGCCAGGCTGGTCTAGAACTCCTGACTTCAGGTGATCCGCCTGCCTCAGCCTCCCAAAATGCTGGGATTACAGGCGTAAGCCACCGCGCCGGACCAACAATTTTTTAAAAAACAAAACAAAAAAGCTATTTAAGGGCATTTTAGAGGGTGATGAAACTTCCAATAGCCTTGTAACCGGGCCCCTTGAGACTTCAGCATTCTGCAGTTCTTAAGGACTGAATAAATGAAAATTCTGATCAGGCCCTTGCTTGTTTGCATGTTTTAACCACTTGCTTTTTGCCCAATATTCCTTGTTCTCACAATATAATTACATACTGCTGATGTACTGTTTGATTGTCAAGGAGAAGGAGATAACTTCAGGGTCATGAAAAATTGTTGCAGGGGGAATGCCTTCAGGGTCGTTGTGGCCAGCCCCTGACGCCCAGAAGCCTGATTGCTCAAGGTGTTATCAGAGACTGAAGAAACACAGACTTTCCCCCTTGGTTCCCTGAAACTCCCCCTCCCTTACTCTCTAGCCCCATAAAAACTCCCTGCTTCCTTTTGTTAAGACAGATTTTAGAGATTTGCTCTGCTGCCTTCTCGCTTTGGCCAAATCAATGAAACCTTTTTGCATCTCCAAGCACCGGTGTCTCAGTGTTTGGCCTCAGCTGCCCATGAGGTACACAAGCCTGATTTTGGGGTTTTACAACAGCCTGATTATGATGTCAGTTACATGTTTATGCATATGTTAAAATTTGGAGTTCTATGTAGTAGTATAGAAGTTATACTTCTATATAACTTACAGTTATAAAAAAAGTTAATAGTTAAAAGTTCATGGCAGGGTGCAGTGGCTCACACCTGTAATCCCAGCACTTTGGGAGGCCGAGGTGGGCGGATCACGAGGTTAGGAGATGGAGACCATCCTGACTAACACGGTGAAATCCCGTCTCTACTAAAAATACGAAAAATTAGCGGGGCAGGCATGGTGGCATGCGCCTGTAATCTCAGCTACTCGCGAGGGTGAAGCAGGTTTTTTTGTTTTTTGGTTTTTTTTTTTTGAGACAGAGTCTCGCTCTGTCGCCCAGGCTGGAGTGCAGTGGTGCGATCTCAGCTTACTGCAAGCTCCGCCTCCCGGGTTCACACCATTCTCCTGCCTCAGCCTCTAGAGTAGCTGGAACTACAGGCGCCCGCCACCTCGCCCGGCTAATTTTTTGTATTTTTAGTAGAGACGGGGTTTCACCGTGTTAGCCAGGATGGTCTCGATCTCCTGACCTCGTGATCCGCCCGCCTCGGCCTCCCAAAGTGCTGGGATTACAGGCCTGAGCCACCGCGCCCGGCCAGCAGGAGAATCACTTGAACCCAGAGGCTGCAATGAGCTGAGATCGTGCCACTGCACTCCAACCTGGGCAACAAGGGCAAGACTTCGTCTAAAAAAAAAAAAAAAAAGTTCATAGCAGTATACATTAAAAAATTGTACTGTATACACTTCGGGAGGCCGAGGCGGGTGGATCACCTGAGGTTGGGAGTTCGAGACCAGCCTGACCAACATGGCGAAACCCCGTCTCTACTAAAATACAAAAAATTAGCCGGGCATGGTGGCGCGTGCCTGTAGTCCCAGCTACTCGGGAGGCTGCGGCAGGAGAATAGCTTGAACCCGGGAGGCGGAGGTTGCAGTGAGCCGACATCCCACCACTGCACTCCAGCCTGGCGACAGAGCAAGACTCTGTCTCAAAAAAAAAAAAAAAAAAAAAAAAAAAAAAGCCAGGCGCGGTGGCTCACGCCTGTAATCCCAACACTTGGGGAGGCCGAGGCAGGTAGATCACAAGGTCAGGAGTTTGAGGCCAGCCTGACCAACATGGTGAAACCTCGTCTCTACTAAAAATACAAAAATTAGCCGGGCGTGGTGGCAAATGCCTGTAATCCCAGCTACTCGGGAGGCTGAGGCAGGAGAATTGCTTGAATCCAGGAGACAGAGGTTGCAGTGAGCCGAGATTGCGCCACAGCACTCCAGCCTGGGTGACAAGAGTGAGACTTTGTCTCCAAAAAAAAAAAATTGTACTGTATAACAGTTGTAAAAATAAAAAACGTTAAACAGTAAGGTGCATGTACATTTCACGATTCTGTGGCAAACACAGATGCGTATATGCTCCTCAGCCTACGCAGGGACTATTTTATTTCTTATGCACATCCTCTCCAAACTACACACTTTTCCTTTGCTACTTCAGCCTGACACCTAAGACATGACTAAGACAGAATGCGAGGTTGATTTTCTGGAGACAATCGCCACCCCCTTCCTCGCCCTCTCTCCTTTCTGTCTCTTCCTGGTTTCCCCACCTCTCCCCTGTTCTTGCGTTCTCGTGTTTCTCACGCCCTGTGTCATGGCCTCCTCCGTCTTCTCCTCCTACTCTGTCTCTGTCTCCTGCCGGGGCCCGGGGTGCCCGACCGCAGCCTTGGGCCACCCTGAGTCCCTGCAGGCGGCCCTGAGGCCGGGGTGGCTTCCGCATGGGGTCTCTGCCCAAGGCCGTTCTCTGCTAAGGAAGGAGCGTGGCCGCCCGGGGAGCCCGGAGGGCTCTAGACCCACGGCGACCGGACCTGGTGGGCGGACCCCGCCTCCGCGTCCCCGGCGGGACAAGCATGGGGCCCCCACGGCCTCCGCGCCCCCGGCGGGACGGATGCCCCGGGCCACCGCGGGCAGCGCGCGCCCCCCACCCACTTTCCGGCCTCGCTGGATTCCCGGGACCCCCTCACAGACGAAGCCTGTCTCGGGGGCGGCTTTGGGAGGAACCGCACCGGAGGTTCCCCTCTCGCTGCCTCTCAGTCTGGGTTTCTGTGGAGCGCGTCTCCCTGTCCCTGTCCCTGATCTCTCCCTGTCCCTGTCCCTGATCTCTCCATGTCCTGCCCCTCCGTTTCCCCTCCGGCCAGCTCCTCAGCTTGTCTCTGACCGCTTCCCTCCCCAGATCCCGGGAATCCGAGGGTCCCTCAAAGACCGGCGTGCTGCGGCCTGCTCTGAGGGCGCCCGGGCCCCTGGGTCCCTCCTCTGAGGACCGACGCTCAGGCAGCGCCGCTTCTTCCTCCCGCAGGAGGCGCTGTAGGACTGAGCGGCAGCCGCGGCCGGGCGCCGGGTCCCAGCATGCACCGCGCCCGGCCGGCGCTGCGTTTGGGGGCCACCCGGGCTGTGCGTGGGAGTCGGGTTGGGGCGGAGCGGAGGGGAGTCAGTGCGCAGCAGGGCAGGTTCCTGCGGAGCCGCCGGAGACGGTCGGGTTTGCCAGGGCCGGGCGGGACCGCGGGGACCATGGCGGAGCCGCCTCGGGTAAGCGGGCTAGCCTGTTTGGACGCCCGGTTTCGGGGTCGTGGTGGGTCCTCGGGTTCCGGGCTCGCCCGTGTCCTGGGGTCCCCGTGAGTGCGCGCGGTGCACGGGTAGGACGGAGTCTGCAGGCTGCTTCTGCTGGGGATGTGGATTCCGGGCCCTGCGGTGAGCAGGTGGCCTCCGCTCCCGCGGCTTGTCCGTGGCCAAACCCCTGGACAAAGCCGAGCGTGGACCGAGGCCGACCTAGGAGCGGGGCGGAGCCTGGGCGAGGATGCCGGGCGGACGGGGAGCGGACGGTGGAAAGGATAGAAAGGTTTGGGGCCAGAGGTGGATGTTACAGGTCAACCAGTTTTACATCATAGTCACCGAAATCAGAACAACTGTTCCAAAAAGTTTAAGATTCCGAATGGTTGAAATGGTGTTTGGCGGGGGCTTCAATGTCAGAATTTATTGTCTAGCGTGATTTGGGTTGAGTGTAAGATGATACGTTGGGAAGAGTAGAAGAGGATACAAAAAATTAAGTTAGTGGTTTCTTAAAATCGAGGTTTAGAGGGTATTTTTATCTTGTAAACTTTAATGTTGAGGATTTTTGCTGATTATTAAATGAATTAGGCCGGGCGCGGTGGCTCACGCCTGTAATCCCAGCACTTTGGGAGGCCGAGGCGGGTGGATCACGTGAGGTCGGGAGTTCGAGACCAGCCTGGCCAACATGGTGAAACCCCAACTCTACTAAAAATACAAAAAATTAGCCTGGCATGATGGCGGGCGCCTGTAATCCCAGCTACTCGGGAGGCTCAGGCAGGAGAATTGTTTGAACCCGGGAGACGGAGGTTGCAGTGAGCCGAGACTGCACCATTGCACTCCAGCCTGGGCAACAAGAGCGAAACTCCGTCTCCAAAAATATATACATACCTATATATATGGGGAAAGGATATAAACAGCCAAATCACAGACCTGAAAATAAATTATTAATGAGTAAAAGAATGGATTTTAAAACTTGTGACATTCAGGCCAGGCGCCGTGGTTTACGCCTGTAATCCCAGCACTTTGAGAGGCCGAGGTGGGCAGATCACTTGACGTCAGGAGTTCAAGACCAGCCTGGCCAACATGGCGAAAAACTGTCTCTACTAAAAAATACGAAAATTAGCTGAGTGTGGTGGCGGACGCCTGTAATCCCAGCTCCTCGGGAGGCTGAGGTAGGGAGAATTGCTTGAACTCGGGAGGTGGAGGTTGCAGCGAACTGAGATGGCGCCACTGCACTCCAGCCTGGGCGACAGAGCGAGACTCTATCTCAAAAACAAACAAACTTGTGACATTCAGACGGTGGAACACTATACAAAATTAAAATAAATTAGCTACATATATGATCAACAGGGCCGGGCGTGGTGGCTCACGCCTCTAATCCCAGCACTTTGGGAGGCCAAGGCGGGCGGATCACGAGATCAGGAGATCGAGACCATCCTAGCTAACACGGTGAAACCCCGTCTCTACTAAAAATACAAAAACAAAAATTAGCTGGGCGTGTGGGCGGGAGCCTGTAGTCCCAGCTGCTCGGGAGGCTGAGGCGGGAGAACCCGGGAGGCGGAGCTTGCAGCGAGCCGAGATCGCGCCACTGCACTCCAGCCTGGGCGACAGAGCAAGACTCTGTCTCCAAAAAAAAAAAAAAAAGAAACTCAACAGGGCCAGATCCCAAAATGTTGAGGGAAGAATACAAGTATAATAAAGTATTTACGTATAAAAGACACAAAGTAATACTGAATATTTACAGATACATATATGTATTAAAATGAACTGGAAAGTTCCCATATTATTTATAATGTTTGCCTTTACAAAGGAAGGAGAATGTGACAATATCAGAACATGATTGAAGAGAGGAACCACAAGAACTTGAGTTTCACCGGTCACATTCTATTTCATTAAAAGGAACTCTGAAGAAAAATGTTAAACTTGTTAAGTCAGTGGTGAATACTAGGATGCTTATAGTTTTCTCTGTAACTCTCTGGATTTTTAAACTTCTAAAAATTAAAAAAGTTTTAAAAGTAAGGAATTTTAATCAGAGAAGAGGAGAGAATGAGTATCTTTAACACAAGTATAAACATACGTTCAGTTCTGCAATAATACAGCATATGCATTTCTAAAAATCATAGTGCTATGCAAAATTGTGCAATAAAAACCACAGAGCTTATTGGGAGAAATGTTACACATACAATACTCAAACTTTAATCAGTGATGTGTTGAAAGAACCTAAAAGCAGTTTTATGCACTTTAATGAGTAATAAATTATCTCAATTGCCTTAAAAACTGCCTGAAATAAGCCTGGGCAGGCCAGGCGTGGTGGCTCACACCTGTAATCCCAGCACTTTGGGAGGTCCAGGTGGGCAGATCACCTGAGGTCAGGAATTCAAGACCAGCCTGGCCAACATGGTGAAATCTCATCTCTACTAAAAATAAAAAAATTAGCTGGACGTGGTGGCGGGCACCTGTAATCCCAGATACTCGAGAGGCTGAGGCAGGAGAATCACTTGAACCTCGGAGGCGGAGGTTGCAGTGAGCTGAGATCGTGTCAATGCATTCCAGCCTGGGTGACAGAGCAAGACTCGGTCTCGAAAGAAAGACAAAAAAAAAAAAAAAAGCCTGGGCAACATGGTGAGACCCCTCTCTACAGAAAATTAGCCAGGTGTGGTGGCATATCCCTGTGGTCCTAGCTACTCGGGAGGCTAAGGCAACAGAATCACTTGAGCCCAGGAGATCAAAGCTATGGTAAGCTGTGTTGGCACCACTGCACTCTGGCCTGGGCAACAGAGACCCCCGTTTCAAAAAAAAAAAAAACCTAAAAGAACTACCTGAAATGTGCTTGTGGAAGTGGGCATAGCAAGGGTTGCAGTTTGTGAGCTATTGTGAAGTGGTGAAAGGAAGGTTATCTGAAATGAGATGGAAAGTTGTGACCCCGGAGGTGAATGGGTAGGGCTCATAACACAGGGTAATCTGATGTTTGAAGTGTGTTGCATGTGTGCATTTTGCGTATGTCTATGCAGCCCAGTTCTGTTTGTTCACATAGTACAAAGTTTCTCACCCTTGCCACTACTAACATCCTGTGCTGGATAATTTTCTGTTTTGCAGGCTGTCCTGCGCATCGTAGGATGTTTATCACTATTCTTGGCTGCTACGCACTAGATGCCCATAGGCCACCCCGCTTCCCCACATTATAACAATAAAAAATGTTGCCAGGGGACAAAATTGTTCTGATTGAGAACCACTAATCTAGTGTTTCTTATAGACAGAATTGCACATAAGCAAATGCAAAATTTTGTAATATATTGTCTCCTAATAATCATGTTGGAACAAATTCACATTTCAAAACAAGGATTATAGCAGAAATGACTATATTTCCTTAAAGTTAAAATAATGAATTTCTGATTTAAGTGTTGCTATATCTGCAGTTTGGATATTTGTCCCTAAATCTCATGTCAAAATTGGATTTGCGGCTGGGCACAGTGGCTCACGCCTGTAATCCCAGCACTTTGGGAGGCTGAGGCAGGTGGATCACCTGAGGTCAGGAGTTCAAGACCAGCCTGACCAACAAGGTGAAACCCTGCCTCTACTAAAAATACAAAAATTAGCCGAGCATGTTGGCAGGCGCCTGTAGTCCCAGCTGCTTGGGAGGCCAAGACAGAATTGCTTGAACCTGGGAGGTGGAGGCTGCAGTGAGCTGAGATCGTGCCACTGCATTTCAGCCTGCCTGGGCGATGGAGCAAGACTCTATCTCAAAAAAAAAAAAAAAGGATCTGCGCTGTTGGAAGTGGGCTGTAATGGGAGGTGTTTAGGTCATGGGGGGTGGATCCCTCATGAATGTCTTGGTGCTGTCCTCTATTAGTTCCTGAGGGAGCTGGTTAAAAAGAGCCTGACATCCCCCCTTCTGTCTTGCTTCTTCTTGCCATGTGATCTGTGCACATGCCAGCTCACCTTTTGTGTGTATGTGTGTGTGTGTGTGTGTGTGTGAGACAGAGTGTCGCTCTGTCACCCACGCTGGAGTGCAATGGTGTGATACTGGCTCACTGCAATCTCTGCCTCCTGGGTTCAAGCGATTCTCCTGCCTCAGCCTCCCAAGTAGCCGGGATTACAGGCCCCTGCCACCACACCCAGCTAATTTTTGTATTTTTAGTAGGGACAGGGTTTAGCCATATTGGCAAAGCTGGTATTGAACTTCTGACCTCAGGTGATCTGCTCACCTTGGCCTCCCAAAGTGCTGGGATTACAGGTGTAAGCCACCGTGCCCAGCCCCCTTCACCTTCCATCATGAACAAAAGCCATCTGAGGCCCTCGCCAGAAGTAGATGCTGGTGATGTGCTTCTTATACAGCCTGCAGAACTGTGAACCAAATAAACCTCTTTTCTTTAAAAATTACCCCACCTTGGTGTTCCTTTACAGCAATACTAAACAGACTAAGACAAATTTAAAGGAGTCAGAGTTTTTAAAACTCAACTCTAAATTTCATAATGAATATAACAAAAAGATGGGAAGTCCTAGCCAGAGCAGTGTGGCAAGAGAAAGAAATAAAAGTCATCCAAATAGAAATAGAGGAAGTCAAACTATCCCTGTTTGCAGACTGTATGATTCTATATGTAGAAAACCCCATAGGGTGCCCAAAC
Organism: Homo sapiens; assembly: GCF_000001405.40. Lineage (NCBI taxonomy): Eukaryota > Metazoa > Chordata > Mammalia > Primates > Hominidae > Homo > Homo sapiens. The sequence continues at coordinate 149,085,976 of NC_000007.14, read as the reverse complement.
GCTCCTTGATCTGATAAAACAACTTCAGCAAAGTCTGAGAATACAAAAATCAGTGTACAAAAATCAGTAGCATTCCTATACACCAACAACATCCAAGCTAAAAGCCAAATCAAGAATACAGTCCCATTCACATCTAGTCAAAAATGCCGAGGAATACAGCTAACCAAGGAGGTTAAAGATCTTTACAACAAGAATTACAAAACACTACTCAAAGAAACCAGAGATAACACAAAGGGAAAAACATTTAATGCTCATGGATAGGAAGAATCAATATTGTTAAAATGGCCATACTGCCCAAAGCAGTTTCCAGATTCATTGCTATTCCTATCAAACTACCAATGACAATTAGAAAAAAACTATATTGCCAGGAGTGGTGGCTCACGCCTGTAATCCCAACACTTCAGGAGGCCAAGGCGGGCAGATCATGAGGCCAGGAGTTCGAGACCAGCCTGGCCAATATGGTGAAACCCCATACTCAAGCAGTTCTCCCACCTCAGCCTCTCAGGTAGCTAGGACTACAGGCATGTGCCATCATGCCCTGCTAATTTTTGTGCATTTTGTTACTGTTTTGGTAGAGATGGGGTTTAGCTATGTGGCCCAGACTGTTCTCAAACTCCTGGGCTCCCAACTTACTGGGATTACAGGTATGAGCCAGTACCTGGCTGAAAAAACTATTTTAAAATTCATATGTAACCAAAAAAGAGCCCAAATAGCCAAGGCAGTCCTAGGCAAAATGAACAAAGCTGGAGACATCACACTACCTGACTTCAAACTATACAAGGCTACAGTAACCAAAACAGCATGGTACTGGTAAGAAAACAGACATATAGACCAATGGAACAGAATAGAGAGCCCAGAAATAACGCCACATACCTACAATCATCTGATCTTCTACAAAGTCAACAAAAACAAGCAGTGGGAAAAGGACTCCCTATTTAATAAATGGTGCTGGGATAACTGGCTAGCCATATGCAAAAGACCGACACTGCACCCCTTCCTTACACCATATACAAAAATCAACTCAACATGGATTAAAGACTTAAATGTAAAACCTAAAATTATAAAAACCCTGGAAGATAACCTAGGAAGTAGCATTCTGGACATAGGCCCTGGCAAAGATTTCGTGATGAAGACTCCAAAAGCAACTGCAACAAAAACAAAAATTGACACATGGGACCTAATTAAACTAAGGAGCTTCTATGCAGCAAAAGAAGCTATCAGCAGAGTAAACAGACACCCTACAGAATGGGATATTTGCAAACTATGCAACTGACAAAGGTCTAATATCCAGAAGCTATGGGGAACTTAAATTTACAAGCAAAAAACAACTGCATTAAAAAATGGGCAAAGGACATGAACAGACACTTCTCAAAAGAAGACATACATATACATGGCCAACAAGCTTATGAAGAAATGCTCAGCATCACTAATCATTTGAGAAATGCAAATCAAAACCGTATCAGTCAGAATGGCTATTAAAAAGTTAAAAACAAGGTTACAGAGAAAAGAGAACACATATACACTGCTGGTGGGAATGTAAATTAGTTCAGCCGTTGTGGAAAGCAGTTTGGTGATTTCTCAAAGAACTCAAAGCAAAATTAACTTTTTTTTTTTTTTTTTTTTTTGGGATGCAGTTTTGCTCTGTTGTCCAGGCTGGTGCCATCTCAGCTCACTGGAACCTCTGCCTCCTGGGTTCAAGCAATTCTCCTGCTTTAGCCTCCTGAGTAGCTGGGATTACAAGCGCGTGCCACCACGCCCAGCTAATTTTTTGTATTTTTAGTAGAGATGGGGTTTCTCCATGTTGGCCAGGCTGGTCTAGAACTCCTGACCTCAGGTGATCTGCCCGCCTCGGCCTCCCAAAGTGCTGGTATTACAGGCGTGAGCCACCGCGCCCAGCCAGAATTACCATTTGACCCTACAATCCCATTATTGAATATATACCCAAAGGAATATAAATTGTTCTGCATAAAGACACATGTTTGCATATGTTCATTGCAGCACTATTCACAATAGCAAAGATGTGGAATCAACCTAAATGCCCATCAATGGCAGACTGGATAAAGAAAATGTACATATGCACTATGGAATACTATGCAGCCATAAAGAAAATCATATCCTTTGCAGAAAGATGGATGGAGCTGGAGGCCATTGTCTTAAGTGAGATAACACAGGAGTAGAAAACAAAGTGCCGTTCTCACTTATAAGGGCGAGCTAAACACTGAGTATATATGGATACGAAGCAGGGAATGAATAACAGACATTGGGGCCTACTTGAAGGTGGAGGCTGGGAGGAGAATGAGGACTGAAAAATTCCTTATCGGGTACTATGCTTATTACCTGGGTGATGAAACAGTCTGCACACCAACCCCCACAACATGCAATTTACCTGTATAGCAAACTTGCACATGTTTGCCTGAAACTAACATTTAAAATAAACAAATAAATAAATAAAAATAAACTTTGGCCGGGCGCGGTGGATCACGCCTGTAATCCTAGCACTGGGAGGCCGAGGCGGGTGGATCACCTGAGGTCAGAAGTTCGAGACCAGCCTGGCTAATGTGCCAAAACCCTGTCTCTACTAAAGATACAAAAATTAGCTAGGGGTGGTGGCCGGCGCCTATAATCCCAGCTACTTGGGAGGCTGAGGTAGGAGAGCTGCTTGAACCCTGGTGGGTGGAGGTTGCAGTGAGCTGAGATCGTGCCACTTTACTCCAACCTGGGCAAAACAGCAAAACTCCGTCTCAAAAAAAAAGAAAAAAAAATTTAAAGATGACTAGGCTGGCTGGGTGCGGTGGCTCGCGCCTGTAATCCCAGCACTTTGGGAGGCCCAGCCAGGCAGATTGCCTGAGGTAGGAGTTCAAGACCAGCCTGGCCAACATGGTGAAACCCCATCTCTACTAAAAATACAAAAAAATTAGCCCAGTGTGGTGGCGTGTGCCTGTAATCCCAGCTACTCAGGAGGCTGAGGCAGGGGAATCGCTTGAACCAGGGTGGTGGAGGTTGCAGTGAGCCAAGATCACGCCACTGCACTCCAGCCTGGGCAACAGAGTGAGACTCCGTCTCAAAATGAATAAATAAAAATAAAAGATGAAGAGGCTGAGCATGGTGGTTCATGTCTGTAGCCCCAGCACTTTGGGAGGCCAAGGTGGGTGGATGACTTGAGGTCAGGAGTTGGAGACCAGCCTGACCAACATGGTGAAACCCCGTCTCTACAAAAAATGCAAAAAAATTAGCCAGGTGTGGTGGTGCACACATGTAGTCCCAGCTACTCAGGAGGCTGAGGCAGGAGAATTGCTTGCATCTGGGAAGTGGAGGATGCAGTGAGCTAAGATCACGCCACTGCACTCCAGCCTGGCAACAGAGCGAGATGCCGTCTCAAAAAAAAAAAAAATTTAAGTTGGAACAAGATAAACTTTAATACCCATAAAAATTGAGGACATATGGCAATAACAATGGCAGTTCAATAAAAGGTGGGATGTATGCTTATGTAATTAGAGTGTTTTAAATTAACAAATATATAATTTACATACTCCTAGTTGTGAGCCTCAGGAAGTATCCATTTATCTAAGTCAACTGTAATAAACACAAATATTAAACAATACTGAACATTTGCATACACTGCATTTTTTCTAATGCAGTTTTTAGAAAAGCAGTAAAATTCAAAACCAGTTGCTAGTAACTCTTAGTCTTCTGCTTCTGGGGAGGCCTCAGAAGACTTACAATCACACGGTCTTCTCATGGCTGGAGCAGGAGAGACAGCGAAGGGGCAAGTGCTACACACTTTTAAACAACCAGATCTTGTGAAAACTCGCTATCATGAGAACAGCAAGGAGGAAGTCCGCCCCCATGATTCAGTTGCCTCCCACCAGGCCCCTCCCCCAACCCTGGGGATTACAATTCAACAGATTTGGGTGGGGACACAGAGCCAAACCATGTCAAGCGAATGCCTAGGCATTTTATTGTTTTTTCCAGCCATTGTAAAAGGTACTGAGTTCTTGATTTCTCAGCTTGGTCGCTGTTGGTGTATAGCAGTGCTACTGATTTATATACATTAATTTTGTTACCTGAGACTTTGTTGAATTCATTTGTCAAATCTAGGAGTCTTTTGGAGGAGTCTTTTGGAGGAGTCTCTAGGATTTTCTAGGTGGAGGATCATATCATTGGCAAACAGAGATAGTTTTCCAATTTGGATACCCTTTATTTCTTTCTCTTGCTTGATTGCTGTGGCTAGGACTTCCAGCCTTATAATGTAAATTAAAATACTGAAATACAACTTGCCGCCCCACATTGGCAAAAAATAAGGTTTGAGAACATCTTGTGCTGGCAAAGGTGTAAAGAAACAAGAAGTCTCATGTTAATAGCAAGGGTAAATGTGCTGCATTCTTTTTGGAAGGCAATCTGATGTTATCTATTAAAACTGAAGATGTGTTTTCTCTTTGATTTAGTATTTCCCCTTTTATACTTTATCCTGAAGAAGTAAAAGCACTAATACCTAGAAAGCGCATGAGAACACTTTTTTTTTTTTTTTTTTTTTTTTTTTTGAGACCGAGTCTTGCTCTGTCGCCCAGGCTGTAGTGCGGTGGCGCGATCTCCGCTCACTGCAACCTCTGCCTCCTAGGTTCAAGCAATTCTCCTGCCTCAGCCTTTCCAGTAGCTGGAATTACAGGTGCACGCCACCACACCCGGCTAATTTTTGTATTTTTAGTAGAGGTGGGGTTTCACCACGTTGGTCAGGCTGATCTCGAACTCCTGACCTCGTGATCTGCCCGCCTCAGCCTCCCAAAGTGCTGGGATTACAGGCATGACCCACTGCGCCTGGCTGAATACTGTAATTTATAAGGGAAACAAACTATATGTCCCATCAGTGGGGTATATCTTCTACTCATGGAATATAGTGCGACTTTACCAAAAAAATGAATTTGCCTCAATATATATTATTGACCTGGAAAGAAGTCTGTGACATATTAAGTGAATGAAGTTACAAAGTGACTTGTTCCCATTTTGTAAAGAAAAAAATTCCATACTCTACATGTGTATATATACTTTGAACAAGCATAATGAAACGTGGAGCGGGGGATGTAGTGGTTAACAGCAGAACGATGTAATTGGAGTAGAGGAAGGAGTAGTTCTCCAGGAAGAAGCTGCTGAACAACCAAAAACATTTGTCCACTGCAGAAGTCTTTTAAATTAACAAGGAGAAGGAGCTGGAGTCATTTTGAAGCAACCATGAATGCATATGTCTTATGTCTACAATTTCAGCTACCTCTGACTTTTGAGGATGTTGCTATTTATTTCTCCGAGCAAGAATGGCAGGATCTAGAGGCATGGCAGAAGGAACTTTACAAGCATGTGATGAGAAGCAATTATGAGACTCTCGTCTCTCTAGGTAAGACCTGTTCACCTTTGTGGGTAGGTCATGGAACTGGATCCTGTAAGGGGTCACAGTCACTTGATGCTCCTGTTTCTCAGGTAGCAAGATTTCTCAGAAATTAACTCAGAAGGGTATTTTTACCCTGCAATCTATTGTTAATACTTTTGTCAACATTGTTAATCTTTACTCAAGGGTAGACATTGTTACATGAGAATATTTGAACAATGTAAGGTGGTCCGGGTGACTAAATATTATTTATGAGGGGCCTTTAGTCATGACTATCAGGATGCCATGATTGTCCACATAGGAGCACACCTAGCGCACATTCATGAAGTGCTCTGTATATCTTTAACCTAGGATGTCCCCACCTCACAGCTTTTACAGTGGGGTCTAAATACTTCAGAAAAGCTATTTTGGAAGGGTGTACAATGAAGTGTTTGTTTTTTTGAGACATAGTCTCACTCTGTCGCCCAGGCTGGAGTCTTGGCTGACTGTAACCTCTGCCTTCCGGGTTCAAGCAGTTCTCCTGCCTCAGCCTACCGAGTAACTGGGACTACAGGTGCGTGCTGCCATGCCCGGCTAATTTTTGTATTTTTAGTAGAGACAGGGTTTCACCATGTTGGACAGGATGGTCTTAATCTCCTGACCTCGTGATCCACCCACCTCGGCCTCCCAAAGTGCTGGATTACAGGCGTGAGCCACTACGCCTGGCCTGAAGTGTTTTAAGAGTAGCTGTCTGCTGGGCGCGGTGGCTCACGCCTGTAATCCCAGGACTTTGGGAGGCCGAGGCAGGTGGATCACGAGGTCAAGAGATCAAGAACATCCTGGCCAACATGGTGAAACCCCGTCTCTACTAAAAATACAAAAATTAGCTGGGCGTGGTAGCGGGCGCCTGTAGTCCCAGCTACTCAGGAGACTGAGGCAGGAGAATCACTTGAACCTGGGAGGCGGGGGTTGCAGTGAGCTGAGATCACGCCACTGCACTCCAGCCTGGCAACAGAGTGAGACTCCGTTCCAAAAAGGAAAAAAAAAAAAAAAAAAAGAGTAGCTGTCTCTGCCTGGGTATGGTATTGGATGTCCTTTTTGCTTATTTGGTTTTTATATTTCATTTATCAAATATCATTTTTAAAAAATCAGTCTGTTCAGAGAAGCATCAAGTGAAAGATCGAAGTCTCCTGTTTCATTCTTTTTTTTTTTGAGACGGAGTCTGGCTCCGTCGCCCAGGCTGGAGTGCAGCGGCGGGATCTCAGCTCACTGCAAGCTCCGCCTTACGGGTTCACGTCATTCTCCTGCCTCAGCCTCCCGAGTAGCTGGGACTACAGGCGCCCACCACTGCACCCGGCTAATTTTTTTGTATTTTTAGTAGAGACAGGGTTTCACCGTGTTAGCCAGGATGGTCTCGATTTCCTGACCTCGTGATCCGCCCTCCTCAGCCTCCCGAAGTGCTGGGATTACAGGCGTGAGCCACCACGCCCAGCCCGTTTCATTCTTATCTCCACATTCAGTTAACCACGTGAGGGCAACCACTTTTAACCATTTTTGTTTTAGTTTTTAAAGTGGCTTCCTCCAATCTAAATACGCTTCCAATAACTTGATTTATCGAGTTTAGACAGAATTAATTACTATGAAAAATTAGGCATTAGTTCACTTATACAATCCCTCTTCTATCATCTTCTCCCCAGTTTTTGATAGTTTTTGTGCCTCTGTTGGTCAGCTTTATAATTTAAAATAATATGTTTAAGATTCTAGATTGTATTCCATCATTTTCATCTGACTCATTCAGTATATAAAGATAATTAGTTCTCTAGTATTTCTCTTCATCTCTTCTGCCAGTTGACAACAGCCATACCACTTCCTTTATATTGCAAAGTTTCTAATATTTATATTCTGTTCTGTTACCATAGTTAACTTTTTTTTTTTTGAGACGGAGTTTCACTCTTGTTGCCCAGGCTGGAGTGCAATGGCACCATGTCGGCTCACCGCAGCCTCCGCCTCCTGGGTTCAAGCAATTCTCCTGCCTCAGCCTCCTGAGTAGCTGAGATTACAGGCATGCGCCACCACGCCCTGCTAATTTTATATTTTTAGTAGAGACGGGGTTTCTCCATGTTGGTCAGGCTGGTCTCAAACTCCCGACCTCAGGTGATTCACCCACCTTGGTCTCCCAAAGTGCTGGGATTACAGGCATGAGCCACCGTGCCTGGCCTACCATAGTTAACTTTTGCAGGCTGTATGTATGGATTGTTTCTAAAACATATAACTGAAAACATTACATTATTTTCATTGTTACTGAAGAATCAGTTACAGTAAATGAATCTATAGAGGCAAAAATATAATTCTATGCCATTAACCCTGTGCCAGCCTAATAAGAATGTTCCAAGCATCAAGATCAAATGGATTCTCTTTTTTTCATTCTTATCAGTTGTTCAAAATTATGCTACATTTTGGCCAGGTGTGGTGGCTCACGCCTGTAATCCCAGCACTTTTGGAGGCTGAGGTGGGTGGATCACTTGAGGTCAGAAGTTTGACACCAGCCTGGCCGACATGGTGAAACCCCATCTCTACTAAAAATACAAAAATTAGCTGGGTGTGGTTGTGCATGCCTGTAATCCCAGCTACTTGGGAGGCTGAGGGAGGAGAATCACTTGAACCCAGGAGGCGGAGGCTACAGTGAGCCGAGATCACGCCATTGCACTCCAACCTGGGCAACAGTGAGACTTCATCTCAAAAAAAAAAAAAAAGACAAAATTATGCTACATTTTAATTTGTTTCGCTGTTGGGCCACAACTGTTTCTCATGCTTTCATCATATCCTTGTGATTATCCATCATCGTCATCATGTTGCCCAGGCTGGTCTCGAATTCTTGAGGTCAAGTGATCCACCTGCCTTGGCCTCCCCAAGTTCTGGGATTACAGTCGTGAGCCACTGTGGCCGGCTAGGAGAACACCCATCTTCTTTTATTTATTTATTTATTTATTTTTGAGAAGGAGTCTCCCTCTGTCGCCCAGGCTGGAGTGCTGTGGCGCAATCTCAGCTCACTGCAAGCTCCGCCTCCCGGGTTCACACCATTCTCCTGCCTCAGCCTCCCGAGTAGCTGGGACTACAGGCGCCCGCCACCACGCCTGGCTAATTGTTTTGTATTTTTAGTAGAGACGGGGTTTCACCGTGTTTGCCAGGATGGTCTCGATCTGCTGACCTCATGATCCACCCGCCTTGGCCTCCCAAAGTGCTGGGATTACAGGCGTGAGTCACCACGCCTGGCCACCCATCTTCTTAATCTAATAGTCAGTTACATGGATCTTTCTGCCTTCTGTCAATTCTCTCCCCAAATGAATCTATAGATTCAAAGCAAGTCCAGTCAGAATCCCAATAGAGCTTTCTGCGGAATTTGATAAGCTGATCCTAAAGAACATGGGAGAACCAAGACAAGAATAATGAAGACAGTCTTATGGAACAAGATGGAACGTGACTGATTGTCTTATCAGATAGCAAGACTTATTATGTGGTACTATGTTAGAGATAGTAAAACATCTGATAGCATCGTGTGTTGTCAAGATGTGAAGCAAAGTGAACATTCCTACTCTATTGTCAATCAGCATAGCCACTTTGGAGAGCAATTTGGTAACATACAGTAAAGTTGAAGACATGCTTATCCTGTGATACAGCAATTCACTTCAAGAACTGTCAATGCTTATGTGTGTATTCATAGAGGCATGCCAGGGAGCAGAAGAAAAAGACAGACTGTGATATATTCATATAATCAAGACTATCAAACAAATGAAGCCAAGTGTTCCAAAATGGAGAAATTTTCAAAATATAATTTGAGGAGAGAAGAGCAAGTTGCAGTACAATGTGGTATGGTCTATGTAGTTTTTTTTTTTTTTTTTTTCAAGATGGAGTCTCTCTCTCTTGCCCAGGCTGGAGTGCAGTGGCGCGATCTCGGCTCACCACAACCTCCACCTCCCAGGTTCAAGCAAGTCTCCTGCCTTAGCCTCCCGAGTAGCTGGGACTATAGGCACACACCACCACACCCAGCTAACTTTTGTATTAGATGAGCTTTCACCATATTGGCCAGGCTGGTCTCGAACTCCTGACCTCGTCATCCTCCCGCCTCGGCCTCCCAAAGTGCTGGGATTACAGGCGTGAGCCACTGCGCCCGGCCTGGTCTGTGTAAAGTTTAAAACCAGCAATATAGGCCGGGCACGGTGGCTCATGCCTGTAATCCCAGCACTTTGGGAGGCCGAGGCAGCCGGATCACCTGAGGTCGGGAGATCGAGACCAGCCTGACCAACATGGAGAAACCCTGTCTCTACTAAAAATACAAAAATTAGCCAGGTATGGTGGCGCATGCCTGTAATCCCAGCTACTCGGGAGACTGAGGCAGGAGAATCGCTTAAACCTGGGAGGCGGAGGCTGCGGTGAGCTGAGATCGCGCCATTGTACTCCAGCCTGGGCAACAAGAGTGAAACTTTGTCAAAAAAAACAAAACAAAAACCCAGCAACATTTTATTTATACATATATATTTTAAAATAAGAACATGCATAGGAATAATGTACACCAGATTCAGGGTAGTGCTTATGTCTGGAGAGGGATATACAGGGGCTTAAACTGTGTAATGTCTCATATCTTCAAAAAACCTGAAGTAGACTGGGCATGGTGGCTCATCCCTATAATCCCAGCACTTTCGGAGGCTGAGGTAGGAGGATATCTTGGGCTGAGAAGTTTGAGACCAGCCTGGACAAACTAGGGAGACCCTCTCTCTACAAAAAATTTAAAAATTAGCTGAGCATGGTGGCTCCCGCCTGTAGTCCCAGCTGTCAGGAGGCTGAGGTGGGAGGATTACTTGAGCCCAGGAGGTTGAGGCTGCAATGAGCTATGATTGCACCACTGCACTTCAGCCTGGGAGACACAGTGAGACTCTATCAAAAAAAAAAAAAAAAAAAAAAAAAAAACCTGAAGTGTGTCAGCACAGTAGGATTTGACAAAGTTAGATGGCATCCAGGTTTTTGTATATTTTTCTCCTTCTCCATGTGCCAGAAATATTTCTAATAAGTTAAACCACTGGCCAGGTGCGGTGGCTCATGCCTGTAATCGCAGCACTTTGAGACTCCAGGGTGGGGTAAGACTACTTGAGTCCAGGAGTTTGAGGTTAGCCTGGGCAACATAGTGAGACCCCATTTCAGAAACTAATAAAAAAAATTAGCCAGTGTGGTAGCTCTTGCCTGTAGTCCCAGCTACTCAGGAGGCTGAGGTGGGCAGATCACTGGAGCCCAGGAGGTTGAGGCTGCAGTAAGCTGTGATCATGCCACTGCATTCCAGCCTGAGAGACAGAGTGAGACCCTATCTAAAACAATAGTAATAATAACTTAAAGCATTATTTTAAAAACTCCTTTTTGACCGCATTTTTGCCATAACCAACTTGCTTTAAAATTGGACCCTATGATCTGGCTGTTAATAAATCACTATTAAGAATATTGAAGGCTGGGCGCAGTGGTTTATGCCTGTAATCCCAGCACTTTGGGAGGCCAAGGCAGGCAGACTGCTTGAGCACAGGAATTTGAAACCAGCCTGGGCAACACGGTGAAACCCGTCTCCACTAAAAATGCGAAAATTAGCTTGGCCTGGTGGTGCGTGCCTGTAGTCCCAGGCTGAGGTTGAAGAATTACCTGAGCCCAGGAAGCCGAGGCTACAGTGAGCCATGATTGCACCACTGCACTCCAGCCTTGGCAACTGGAGTGAGAACCCATCTCAAAAAATAAATAATTAATTTTAAAAATATATATATATATATAGCATTAGCCATTTTGTTTTTGGACAAAATACAGCATTGCTAAATGTGTGGGGAACATGACAAAATTAAAACAACATACCTGATCTAACATGCCCAGACAGACTAGGAGGCATTGTTAGGATGTGTAGGCGGTTTTTTCATCTTTGTGTAAACCTGTTTTTTTTTTTTTGACATGTTGTTCTCATACTTTGTCCCAGGAGTGAATGTTGAGAAATTTAGAAACTTAGTGTGCTTTAAATTCAGGAAGCCAAACTACCCTGTCTGACTTCTCTGTGCAGATGATGGACTTCCAAAACCAGAACTAATATCCTGGATTGAACACGGGGGAGAGCCCTTCAGGAAATGGAGAGAATCACAGAAATCAGGAAACATAATTTGCTCCTCTGTTGATATGCATTTTGATCCAGGTTTTGAGGAACAGCTGTTTTGGGGTGAGTATTAAGAAATCAGGGCCCCGACCTTGAGACATCATGTTCAGATTTGTTTCTCTTCTCTGATCTTGTCATCCTGTTTGGGCAAGCTGAGGTTTGAAGACTCTTATCTTCTAGATAAAGGCAGTAAAGCATAATGGTTAGGAATGTGGGTTCTAGAGTCTGTGTCTGGATCTTGCTTTTTCTTGGTGACCTTGGGCAAGTTATTGAACCTTTTGGTATTTCAATGCCTGATCTATAAAATGAAAGTACCCATGTTAACAGGATTGAATTGGTTAATATATATAGTGTTAGGCCAGGCATGGTGGCTCAGGCCTGTAATCCCAGCACTTTGGGTGGCCGAGGCGGGCAGATCACTTGAGGTCAGAAGTTCCAGACCAGCCTGGCCAACATGGTGAAACCCTTACTCTACTAAAAATACAAAAAAATTAGCCGGGCATGGTGGCAGGTGCCTGTAATCCCAGCTACTCAGGAGGCTGAGGGAGAAGAATTGCTTGAACCTGGGAGGCAGAGCTTGCAGTGAATGAGCTGAGATTATGCAACTGCACTCCAGCCTGGGCGATGGAGCAAGTCTCAGTCTCAAAAAAAAAACTATATATATATACATATATATATATATATATATATATATATATATACACACACACACACACACACACACGCACACATATACACACACACGTGTATATACATATGTATATAAATGTATACATAAATATATGTGTATATATGTATACATATATATGTGTATATATATTGAGAGACAGTTTATATAGTAAGAACTCAGTAGAAACTGGTTATCCAGTTTGTTTGGTTTTTAAGACACAGGATCTTGCTCTGTCACCCAGGCTGGAGCACAGTAGCATGATCATAGCTCACTGCAGTCTTGAACTCCTGGCTTCCAGCAGTCCTGGCCTCAAGCAGTCCTCCCACCTCAGCCTCCCAAAGTGTTGGGATTATAGGTGTGAGCCACCATGCCTGGCCCATGGTTATCCAGATCTTCATGACTAACGTGGCTTCCTTCCTAACTAGAGACTGTTGTCTACTTGAATACTTCAACCTGAGCTCCTCTCTTTCATTTCTTGTCATGAGGAGAGAGTCTGAGATTTTTGGATTCTTAAAGTACAGAATGAAAAAGTCAAACAGGAGCATCATTTCAAGAAATCTTGTCAAATAGTTTTTGTTTTTAGGTGCTTCTTTCGAAAGTGAAGGTTTTTCCCCCACAAATTACTTAACTTTCTACCATCTATTAATTATTCCAAGAAACCTTCTTGAAACATTGGCAGAAATGGGGGCAGGGAGGGAGGAATAGGCCCAAGCCTTGCTGCCAGGTCTTAGAGACAGGATGGCTCAAGGATCACGTATAACTGTGGTATTGGTCAGGGCTCCAGCTCGGGACTCCAGGTGTGTCTGTACATCAGAATGCGATACACTGGCTTTCCTGAAGTCATGAGAACAGCCAACACTTAAACAGAGTACATGCACTATGCCAGGCACCATGCTAAGCACCTCATGCACATTAGCTCATTTAATTCTCACAGTAATCTTATGTACTTTTGTTTCCATGTTTTTACAGAAGGAGCTGAAGTCAAAAGAGATTAGCTTGACAAAGGTTACACAGTGGACAGATAGGATTCAAAACTAGGCAGACTGATTCCAGAGCTTACACTCTATATTTGCGACCTATATTTTCCTTTTTTCAATATTATCCAAAGATATGTCTGTTCAGTTTAGTTTCAGCAGACTCACCAAACTCACGGCCATGAGACAGATCACACTGCATGGTTGGGTAGCTCAGTGGAAGCTGGGTTCCCAGGCCACCACAAGGCACTCTTGTGGGTCACTTGACTGTGAGAATCGCTAGTAGTGCTGCAGACAGGAATACCGACTGAATTTTTGTTTTCAATTGCAGGAAGCCAGCAGGCTATGAATTCAGGAAAAACTAAAAGCCATTTCCAATTAGATCCTGAAAGCCAGTGTTCCTTTGGATCCTTTGTTTCCTTCAGGCCTGACCAAGGCATCACCCTCGGGAGCCCACAGAGACACGACGCCAGGGCTCCTCCACCACTAGCCTGCGGCCCCAGTGAATCTACCCTAAAAGAAGGAATCCCAGGTCCCAGAAATCTGGATCTTCCTGGTTTGTGGGACGTCCCCGCCTGGGAGAGCACCCAGCACCCTTGGCCTGTCTGCGGGGAAAGCTGTTGGGAGAACAACCATTTAGTAATGCACCAGAGAGGCCACTCAAAGGACCGGACACGTAGGGCCTGGGAGAAATTCAACAAGAGGGCGGAGACGCAGATGCCGTGGAGCAGCCCTCGGGTACAGAGGCACTTCCGGTGTGGCGTGTGCGGTAAGAGCTTCCGCCGGAAGCTGTGTCTGCTGCGCCATCTGGCGGCCCACACGGGGAGGGGCCCCTTCCGGAACGCTGACGGTGAAATGTGCTTCCGACACGAGCTGACCCATCCCAGCCACCGCCTCCCGCAGCAGGGGGAGAAGCCTGCCCAGTGCACCCCATGCGGCAAGCGCTCCCTCCCAGTGGACAGCACGCAGGCTCGCCGGTGCCAGCACAGCCGGGAGGGGCCGGCCTCTTGGAGAGAAGGCCGCGGGGCCTCCAGCAGTGTGCACTCGGGACAGAAACCAGGCTCGCGCCTGCCCCAGGAGGGGAACAGCCACCAGGAAGGGGACACGGAGGCGCTGCAGCATGGCGCAGAGGGGCCCTGCTCCTGCTCGGAGTGTGGCGAGCGCTCCCCTATGAGCGCCAGGCTCGCCAGCCCCTGCAGGGCGCATACTGGAGAAAAGCCCTTCCAGTGTGCGCATTGCACCAAGCGCTTCCGCCTGCGCCGCCTGCTGCAGGTCCACCAGCACGCGCACGGTGGGGAGAGACCGTTCTCCTGCAGGAAGTGTGGCAAGGGCTTCGCCAAGCAGTGTAAACTCACGGAGCACATTCGAGTCCACAGCGGAGAGAAGCCTTTCCGGTGTGCCAAGTGTGGCAGGAACTTCCGTCAGAGGGGACAGCTGCTGCGGCACCAGCGGCTGCACACGGACGAGAAGCCCTTTCAGTGCCCAGAGTGTGGGCTGAGCTTCCGCCTGGAGAGCATGCTGAGAGCCCACCGGCTCCGGCACGGTGGGGAGAGGCCGTTCTCCTGTAGCGAGTGTGGCAGAGGCTTCACCCACCAGTGCAAGCTCCGTGAGCACCTGAGAGTGCACAGCGGGGAGAGGCCCTTCCAGTGCCTGAAGTGCGACAAGCGCTTCCGCCTGAAGGGCATCCTGAAGGCCCACCAGCACACGCACAGCAAGGAGAGGCCGTTCTCGTGCGGGGAGTGTGGCAAGGGCTTCACCAGACAATCCAAGCTCACGGAGCACTTGCGCGTGCACAGCGGGGAGAGACCCTTCCAGTGCCCAGAGTGCAACAGGAGCTTCCGCCTGAAGGGGCAGCTGCTCAGCCATCAGCGCCTGCACACGGGAGAGAGGCCCTTCCAGTGTCCGGAGTGCGACAAGCGCTATCGCGTGAAGGCCGACATGAAGGCCCACCAGCTGCTGCACAGCGGGGAGATGCCTTTCTCCTGTGAGTGCGGCAAGGGCTTTGTGAAACACTCAAAGCTCATCGAGCACATCAGAACGCACACGGGAGAGAAGCCTTTTCAGTGTCCCAAGTGTGACAAGAGTTTCCGCCTGAAGGCGCAGCTGCTCAGCCATCAGGGCCTGCACACAGGGGAGAGGCCTTTTCACTGCCCTGAGTGTGACAAGAACTTCCGGGAAAGGGGACACATGCTGAGGCACCAGCGCATCCACAGGCCCGAGAGGCCCTTTGCCTGTGGCGATTGTGGGAAGGGCTTCATTTACAAGTCTAAGCTTGCGGAGCACATCAGAGTACACACAAAATCCTGTCCTGCTCCAAATGAACTGGACATTAAGAAAAGGCTCAGCCAACTGTTTGCAATGATAGAGGCCGATTGGAGTTGAGGCAGAGTGGGACATCCAAAGCGTTGAGCAGGATTGGTATTGCCCAGGAATCCACAGCAACAGTAGCCAGACCCGCTGGTAGACGGGTTTTAGGAGCAGGTATCCTTCTTTGAGCAAGAGTGTCATGCAAGTTAGGAATATGAAGAACCACAAAGGATTTTCTCTTCAGAAGCATCACCAATTATATTTCTTTCTTTTTTTTTTTTTTTTCCAAGATGGAGTTTTGCTCTGTCACCCAGGCTGGAGTGCAGTGGCGTGATCCCAGCTATATTGGAAAAGACAGCATTATAAAACAAGGACATAATTTTATGAAAAAGGAGGCATCTGCAAACGAAAACAATTTCTACGAGGTTATATGTGATTGTTAACATTTTTAAGAAAAGGTGCACACAGAAATCCAGATAAGATGTGATTACCTTTGTGCATTTGTATAAAAATATATGTGTGTAATTATAAGGAAGTTCTGACATTTTAAAAAGTAATTGTTATAAAAGTAAATTTAGGCCAGGCACAGTGGTTCATGCCTGTAATCCCAGCACTTGGGAGGCCGTGGCAGGAGGATCACGAGCCAAGGAGTTTGAGACCAGCTTGGGCAACATGGCAAAACCCTGTCTCTACTAAAAATACAAAAATTAGCCAGGCATGGTGGTACACACCAGTAGTCCCAGCTACTCCTGAAGCTGAGGTGGGAGGATCGCCTGAGCCCAGGGAGGTCAAGGCTGCAGTGAGCAATGATGGTGCCACTGCACTCCAGTATGGATGACATAGTATGACACTGTCTCAAAAAAAAAAAAAAAAAAATTTGGGCCAGGGGTGGTGGCTCACGCCTGTAATCCCAGCACTTTGGGAGGCTGAGGCGGGTGGATCACAAGGTCAGGAGATCGAGACCATCCTGGCAAACACAGTGAAACCCTGTCTCTACTAAAAATACAAAAAAAAAAAAAAAATTAGCCGGGTGTGGTGGCAGGCACCTGTAGTCCCAGGAGGCTGAGGCAGGAGAATGGTGTGAGCCCAGGAGGCGGAGCTTGCAGTGAGCCAAGATCAAGCCACTGCACTCCAGCCTGGGTGACAGAGCGAGACTCCGTCTCAAAAAAAAAAAAAAAACAAATTTAGTATCTCCCAAAGGAAGCTTGGCAAGTCCTTTTCATTCTCTTTAGAATTTATAGAATATAGCCTGGCGTGGTGGCTCATACCTATAATCCCATTACTTTGGGAGGTCAAGGCAGGAGGATCACTTGAGGTCAGGAGTTCAAGACCAGACTGGCCAACATGGTGAAACACCATCTCTACCAAAAAGTACAAAAATTAGCCGGGCATGGTGGCATGCACCTGTAGTCTTGGCTACGCCGGAGGCTGAGGCAGGAGAATCGCTTGAACCCCAGAGGTGGAGGTTGCATTGAGCTGGGATTGCACCACTGCATTCCAACTTGGGAGACAGAGCAAGACTCCATCTCAAAAAAATTATAGAATATATAATTAATATATAAAGATACAGAATAATATATAATTATAAATTCCTTTTTTTTTTTCTTTGAGATGGAGTCTTGCTCTGTCGCCCAGGCTGGGGTGCAGTGGCATGATCTCGGCTCACCGCAAGCTCCACCTTCCGGGTTCATGCCATTCTCCTGCCTCAGGCTCCCAAGTAGCTGGGACCACAGGCGCCCGCCACCACGCCCAGCTAATTTTTTGTATTTTTAGTAGAGACAGAGTTTCACCGTGTTAGCCAGGATGGTCTCGATCTCTTGACCTCGTGATCCGCCCGCCTCAGCCTCCCAAAGTGCTGGGATTACAGGCATGAGCCACGGTGCCGGCCTTTCTTTTCTTTTTTTTTTTTTTTTTGGAGTCTCTGTCAGCCAGCCTGGAGTACAGTGCCATGATCTTAGCTCGCTGTATCCTCCACCTCCCAAGCTCAAGTGATCCTTCTTTCTCAACCTCCTGAGTAGCTGGGACTAAAGGCGCACGCCATCACGTGCCACCATGCCTATTTTTGTATTTTTAGTAGAGACTAAAAATACAAAAAATATAAAATGTGGGCCAGGCTGGTCTTGAACTCCTGACCTCAGGTGATCTACCCACCTCAGCCTCCCAAAGTGCTGGGATTATAGGTGTGAGCCACCGTGCCCGGCCTATACTTCGCCATTTGTCTCTTAACACGGGTGCCCAAGAAGCTGCTGCTTGGGGGGCTGTATTCAATTAACACTTTTAATGTTAACAGGTGTGGACCATCAAGAGATTGTCTCTCCCTGGCTGCCGAATTCTCATTCTTAGAGAGGCAATTTGTTAATTGCTGAACCATCACCTGACATTTCTAGTGGGTCGGGAGAGAGCCCTCTGCTGCCCTGTTGATGCCTAACTACCTGTAACAATCTGATTATTGTAAGTTTTCCTGTATCCAGTATCACCTCCAATATTTATCAAGGAGTTGTGTGAAATACCACCTCACAACCAGATGAAGAATTTTATCACCACCTCCTCCAATTCCTCATGAGGGAGAAGTAGGAATTGCTCTGAGCCTAAGGTAGAAACCGTTCCTGAAATGTTGAAAACCGTCATTGTGAGTAGGTGAGTGGAGTGGTGGAGTAGTGAATCACCTGTACAATGGCACTGTCAAAAGACAAAATTACAACACATTTAGTTTAAAAATCTTAATTGGCTTATTTGGTATTCTAGAATTGAGCAACACTTCATCCCATGAAACAGAATAAGTGGCCCGGCGTGGTGGCTCACGCCTGTAATCCCAGCACTCTGAGAGGCCGAGGCGGGCAGATCACCTGAGGTCAGAAGTTCAAGACCAGCCTGGCCATGGTGAAACCCTGTCTGTACTAAAAATACAAAAAATTAGGTGGGTGTGGCAATGCGAACCTGTAATTCCAGCTACTCGGGAGGCTGAGGCGGGAGAATCGCTTGAACCCGGGAGGCGGAGGTTGCAGTGAGCCGAGATCGTGCCATTGCACTCCAGCCTGGGCAACGAGCGAAACTCGGTCTCAAAAACAAAAACAGAAAAACAGAATAAGTGTTTGGATGAGCCAGCCAAGGCGGGTTTTTTTTTTTTTTTTTAAGAAGGAGTCTCCCTCTGTCGCCCAGGCTGGAGAGCAGTGGCGCTATCTTGGCTCACTGCAACCTCCACCTCCTGGGTTCAAGCAATTCTGCCTCAGCCTCCCAAGTAGCTGGGATTACAGGTATGCGCCACCATGCCTGGCTAATTTTTTGTATTTTTAGTAGAGACGGGGGTTTCACCAGGATGGCCAGGCTGGTCTCGAACTCCTGATCTCGTGATCTGCCCACCTTGGCCTCCCAAAGTGCTGGGATTATAGGTGTGAGCCACTGCACCCGGCCCGCGGTTGGTTTTATGGACAGAAAAAGCTTGGGAAAAGCAGAAACAGAAAACTAAAAGTGGGTTGGTTGTTTCAAAGTTACTTTTTTCTTCTAAAGGTTAAAGCAGAGGGGGTGTCTTCTGGCCGGGCACGGTGGCTCACACTTGTAATCCCAGCACTTTGGGAGGCCGAGGCAGGTGGATTACCTGAGGTCAGGAGTTCAAGACCAGCCTGGCCAACATGGTGAAACCCCCGTCTCTACTAAAAATACAAGAATTAGCCGGGCGTGGTGACACACCCCTGTAATCCCAGTTACTTGGGAGGCTGAGGCAGGAGAAGTGCTTGAGCCCGGGAAGCAGAGGTTGCAGTGAGCCAAGATTGTGCCACTTCACTCCAGCCTGGCCGACAGAGTGAGACTCTGTCTCAAAAAAAAAAAAAAAAAAAAAAAGCAGAGGGGTCTTCCTTATGCTGGCCTGTTTGGTGATGTGGCACTTTTGCATGAGTAACTCCATCTTGGTGTGGTCTCTTGGAGCCTAGTGCTGGAGCTGAGTCCGAACCAATGGACTCCTATTATTTTATTTAATAACAGTTTCTTTTTTCTTTTTTTTTTTTTTTGAGACGGAATCTTGCTCTGTTGCTCAGGCTGGAGTGCAGTGGTGCGATCTCGGCTCACTGCAATCTTCACCTCCTGGGTTCAAGTGATTCTCCCGCCTCAGCCACCCGAGTAGCTGGGACTACAGGCGCGTGCCACCACGCCCGGCTAATTTTTGTATTTTTAGTAGAGACGGGGTTTCACCATGTTGGCCAGGCTGGTCTCAAACTCCTGACCTCAGGTGATCCGCCCGCCTCAGCCTCCTAAAGTGCTGGGATTATAGGCATGAGCCACCGCGCCCGGCCGATAACACAGTTTCATTGTGAAGACAGGCGGCTTGTAGTAGCAAAAATTGAAACCGAAAATGGCGACGTTACACATTCTCCAAATCCCTACTAATTTACATACCTATCAATTTCAGAGGCAATCTCGTGTAACCCTAAAGGAGGTTATCTCTGGAGAGCTTGGAGCAGCTCCAATTCAAGTTCAGAGATCCAGGGAGCCCAGAATGCACAGCGCCGCGGGGGTGCCTCCCGCCAGAAGGCGGCGCTGTGGGATCCCAGCCCGAGCCGTGTCCAGGCACAGGAAAGGCAGAGCGTTCTCAGCATGCCCTGCCTGTGCCCTGGGCAACGGCCGCCGCCGAGCGAGATCCCGGGGTCGCGCAGGGTGGGGCTGGGGCTGAAGGGCGCAGGCCCCGCGTACGGGGGCCGCCCCTGCTTTTCCTCCGCGAGACCAGAGCTTAGACTACGGCAGGACTAGTCCCTGGGGTTCCCCTTCGGGTGTCAGACCCTCTCTGGGCGGTCGCGGGAGGGCTCGGGCTCGCAGGATCTGCAGGTGTTGGGGCTGGGGCAGTGGGGAGTGGTCCGTGGGCCCAAGAGGACGAAGCGGAGTCGGGCGGTTCCGGCTGGGAGGAGGCGCCTCCCCGGGGCTGCCCTGACCTAGTAAAATCTGTGGGGAAGCCCTGGCCGGGGAGCCTTCCCCCAGCTCGCTCCCTGGGGCCTGGACAAAAGGCCGGGAAGGAAACGCAGCCCTGGGCTCTGCGGTCTTTGGAACAGAGACTGCGACTTTTCATCTTCGTTTCCCACCTAGTGTGGGGCCCCCGTGGGTGCTGTACAAATGCTGTGGAATCAAAGAATCAGTGGAGGAGTCCCGCACGCACCCATTGATTTTACTCAGTCCAGAGTTTCCGGAGAGTGCCTGCTTCCCTAAGCGCAGCTTGTGGGCGGAGACTCTGCTGGATGAGGTGCAGATTGGGAGAAAGAACAGGAAATTACGGGTGAGAAAAGAAAAGGATTCCCATAAAGGGCACATGTGAAAGTACAATGCTGAATTGCAATATTAGGCACTTCCATTTTCTTTTTATTTATTTATTTAAGACGGAGTCTCGCTCTGTCACCCAGGCTGGAGTGCAGTGGTGCCATGTCAGCCGACTGCAACCTCCGCCTCCCGGGTTCAAGCGATTCTCGTGCCTCAGCTTCCCAAGCAGCTGGGATTACAGGCGTGCGCCACCACGCCCGGCTAGTGTGTGTGTGTGTGTGTGTGTGTGTGTGTGTGTAGCTGGGATTACAGGCGTGCGCCACCCCCCCCCCCCCCCGGCGAGTGTGTGTGTGTGTGAGTGAGACGGAGTATCACTCAGTTGCCCAGGCTGGAGTGCAGTGGCGCGATCTCGGCTCACTGCAACCTCCGCCTCTCAGGTTCAAGTGATTCTCCTGCCTCAGCCTCCTGAGTTGCTGGGACTACAGGCACGCACCACCATGTCCGGCTAAGCTTTGTATTTTTAGTAGAGACTGAGTTTCACCATATTGGCCAGGCTGGTCTCGAACTCCTGACCACGTGCCCGCCTGCCTTGGCCTCCCAAAGTGCTGGGATTACAGGCGTGGTATTATTAATGTTAATGGTGTTGCGTCTCTGGGGTAGTGACTGCCTAGTCAAGCTTCTATTCTGTTTTCTAATTACTAGGAAACTAAAGGGCATTTTCCTTATTTGCTTTGTCACCTTCTAGGGAAAGTGATGTTTTGCTTTTCTGGTGCAAAATGTTTTGAAGAAGATAATTTCTCATAGCTGTATTGGAGCAAACTGTCACTTTAAATTTTATTTTGGTGAAATGGTACCAATTATGGCCGGGCGCGGTGGCTCACGCCTGTAATCCCAGCACTTTGGGAGGCCGAGGCAGGAGGATCACGAGGTCAGGAGATCGAGACCATCCTGGCTAACACGGTGAAACTCCGTCTCCACTAAAAAATACAAAAAAAAAAAAATTAGCCGGGCGTGGTGGTGGGCGCCTGTAGTCCCAGCTACTCGGGAGGCTGAGGCAAGAGAATGGCGTGAACCTGGGGGGCGGAGCTTGCAGTGAGCCGAGATAGCGCCACTGCACTCCAGCCTTGGGGGCAGAGGCAGACTCCGTCTCAAAAAAAAGAAAAACAAACAAACAAAAAAAAGAAATGGTACCAATTATGGAAGTCTGCAGATGTAACTATTTTTTGCTTATAAACACAGGTGTTTTTGGTGTTTTTAACATCTCAAAATGTTGAAGACAGTTCAATGTGTACTTTATCACGCAGTACTATAACATTATATGACTGTATAGTAGGCTAGGTGCTTACAGAACTATGTCCTATGGTAATTGCTCAAATGTTCATTTAATTGAATCAAATTATTTCAGATTGTGTTTCTCCAGTTACAAATAAGTGTCTGCAGAAGTTCCAATGATTGACTTCTCTATGAGTCTCCCCAAACTATTCCTGTAAAACAAGGGCCTATGTATTCAATATTCCACCTCTGTCAGGGTATAAATCTGCTTTGTTTGCAGCACTGGTTAACTTTTGAAAAGAGGAACAGCAAAATCATCACAAGTCTATTCCTGGAATTATGTCACTAAAGCCTAAGTCAATTCACATGATGAATATTCTGCCTTCTCAAGATTTGTGTCCTAACTCCTTCCCCAATATAACAAAGGTAGAAGGGCTTTTAAACATTACTGATGAGGACAGGTGTGAAGCCACCCTGAGACAAAAGGAAATGTGTTTGGGGTTCCAAGTGGCAATGACCTTTGACGACATGGCCATCTGTTTTTCAATACAGGAGTAGGAGAATCTGGATGGATATCAGAAGGAACTTTACAAGCAGGGGATGAGGAGTATCTGTGAAGCTCTGATCTCTCTAGGCAAGATGGGTTTTTGTTGAAAATTTGAGAGTAATTCATGAAATCAGAGACTAAGCAAGTCTCTGCAGGTTACCTGTTCTTTCTGTTGGCTGCTTGGTTGGCCTCTGGAGACAGCAACCTACTTATCAGTAGGATATCCTGAGAAAAATTATTTCCTTGATAATTATGCCTAGTTCATGTCTTCCAAGTATCCTATTTGCCTTATAATACCTTAATCAAATGCTTTATTGCCACCAATTTCTTAGGGTCTCTGCATTTTGGCTTTATTGTCTTAGAACGCAACCCACAAAACAGCCAGAAGTGTATGTGCCAGTTAAATCAATGCTCATCTTTCCAGAATTTTCATTCCTTTATTTAATTCAGGAGAAATCAATAAACACTTATTGCATACTTCCCATGTATCAGATTCTGGGGTAAGTAGAAAGATAAATAAAATATAGTCCCTACCTTCATGGGGCAAATAGCCCACTGAGAGAGACATATGGGCCGGGTGCAGTGGCTCACACTTGTGATCCCAGGACTTTGGGAGGCCAAGGCGGGCAGATCTCCTGAGGTCAGGAGTTTGAGACCAGCCTGGCCAACATAGTGAAACCCGGTCTCTACTAAAAATACAAAAATTAGCCACGCATGGTTGTGGGCGCCTGTAATCCCAGCTACTGGGGAGGCTAAGGCAGGAGAATTAATTGCTTGAATCCGGGAGGTGGAGGTTGCAGGGAGCTGAGATCATGCCCCTGCACTGCAGCCTGGGTGACAGAGTGAGACTCCATCTCAAAAAAAAAAAAAAAAAAAAAAGGCATATGTATTGCGTGAGGGCACTTTTGCTTGCAGATGACAGAAACTCAGCTCAAAGTACCTAAAGGAAAAATAAAAAGTAGCTTATAGGTTCATGTAATAGGAAGCCCAGTGGTCGGATTGTCTTCACAGCTGGCTGGGTGCAGGGGCTCACGCCGTGGTTCAGGGCACTTTTGTGCTCTTTCTTCTTAGTTTTGCTTCCCTCTGTGTTGACCTTATTTTCTCCAACTGCATAGGTTTCTTTCATATGCTGAGAATGATAGTTGCCAATGGCCCCAATTTCACTTCATGTTCCCAAAGGTGTTCTCCAGATAAGGCAGATTTACAATTGCCCTCAGCATTTTTTCTTTTTTCTTTTTTTTTGAGACAGAGTTTCACTCTTGTTGCCCAGGCTGGAGTGCAATGGCACAATCTCGGCTCACTGAAACTTCCGCCTCCTGGGTTCAAGCGATTCTCCTGCCTCAGCCTCTCGAGTAGCTGGGATTACAGGCGCGCGCACAAGGCCCAGCTAATTTTGTATTTTTAGTAGAGATGGGATTTCACCATATTGGCCAAGATGGTCTCGAACTCCTGACCTCCGATAATCATCCCACCTCGGCCTCCCGAAGTGCTGGGATTATAGGCCTGAGCCACCGTGCCTGGCCACGCTGTCAGCATTTTTAAAGGCTCAGAGAGGCCCTGCAACAAATAAACCTGTTAAACTTTGTTTAATCTGTCATTTCCCAAGTTTATTTCATCTGAGAACCGCCCCCCCCCCAACTTTTTTTGTTTTTTTTTTAACAGAGTTTCGCTCTTGTTGCCCAGGCTGGAGTACAATGGGGCGGTCTTGGCTCACTGCAGCTCTGGCCTCCCAGATTCAAGTGATTCTTGTGCCTCAGCCTCCGGAGTAGCTGGGATTACAGGCGCCTGCTACCATGCCCGGCTAATTTTTTTTTTTTTGGAGACGGAATTTCGCTCTTGTTGCCCAGGCTGGAGTGCAATGGCGCAAGGGGGCTTGGCTCACCGCAACCTCTGTCTCCCGGGTTCAAGCGATTCTCCTGCCTCAGCCTCCCAAGTAGCTGGGATTACAGGCATGTGCCACCACACCCCGCTAATTTTGTATTTTTTTAGTAGAGACGGGGTTTCTCCATGTTGGTCAGGCTGTTTTCGAACCCCTGACCTCAGGTGATCTGCCCGGCTCAGCCTCCCAATTCTGGAAAGATGAGCATTGATTACAGGCGTGAGCTATTGCGCCTGGCCTGTATTTTTTATTTTTTTTTAGTTTTTTAAGATGGAGTCTTGCTCTGTTGCCCAGGCCGGAGTGCAGTGGCGTGATCTAGGCTCACTGCAACCTCCGCCTCCCAGGTTCAAGCAATTCTCCTGCTTCAGCCTCCCAAGTAGCTGGGAAAATTAGCACACCGCCACGCCTGGCTAAGTTTTTGTATTTTTACTAGAGATGGGGTTTCACCAGATGCCCAGGCTGGTCGCGAACTCCTGAGCTCAGACAATGTGCCCCGCTTGGCCTCCAAAGTACTGGGATTACAGGCGTGAGCCACCGCTCCCGGCCTAATTTTTGTATTTTTAGTAGAGATGGGGTTTCACCATGTTGGTCAGGCTGTTCTCGAACTCCTGACCTCAGGTGATCTGCCTACCTCGGCTTCCCAAAGTGCTGGGATCACAGGCATGAGCCACCGCACCTGGCTGAGAACACTTTTTACAAATATTTGGTAGCCACACCCTTTAGGACTGGAATTCTGTGGAATTCACTTTGGGAAGTATTGTGAATTTCTT
The DNA here is from genome assembly GCF_000001405.40 of Homo sapiens. Lineage (NCBI taxonomy): Eukaryota > Metazoa > Chordata > Mammalia > Primates > Hominidae > Homo > Homo sapiens. Next base: position 149,060,791 of record NC_000007.14, on the reverse strand, counting down.
ATACAAAGGACGGAGCAATTAATTCTTCCTGTGTAGGTTTCACTAAGGAAAAGTCGGTTGCTCTAGGCCTTAAATGATTTAAAAAGAGAAAGAAAAAAATATTTTCCTGGGTTAAGGAGATGGGAGAGGGCATTTCAAGAGGGTTTGAGAAAAGACAAAGGGTGGTGAAAATGGAGTGCGTTCAAGACTGCCCTGTCATCTTTTGTGGCTAGATCATAGGATTCTTTGGGGGAAAATGGCAGGAAATAACCTGTGTGAGGCCAGCTCATGGACGGCCTTGAATGCTGCATTGGATTTGGCCTGCATCCTAAAGGCATTAGGCTGCCACAGGGGCTTTAGAAATGAGAAGGGAATGATCTGTATATTGGAAAGTTAACTGATCACATGATGTAGGTTGAATGAATCTGGAGAAACTGGAAGCAAAATGGCTAGATAAGAAGCTATTTCTGCTGCAACTTCTCAACTCTAACTCTCCTGTTACAACATGAAAGCAGCATAAAAGATACATAAACAAGTGAGAGTGGCTGTGTGCCAATAGAAATTTATTCATGAGTTCTGAAACTTGCATTACATATCATTTTTACATGCCATGAAACATCCTTCTTTTGATTTTTTTTTTTTTTTTTTTTGAGATGGAGTCTTGCTTTTTTTGAGGCTGGAGTGCAGTGACTGGATCTTGGCTCACTGCAACCTCCACCTCCCGGGTTCAAGCAATTCTCATGCCTCGGCCTCCCAAGTAGCTGGGATTACGATGGCTAATTTTTTTTTTTTTTTTTTTGAGATGGAGTCTTGCTCTGGGTTCAAGCAAGTCTCGTGCTTCAGCCTCCCACGTAGGTGGGATTACAACGGCCTTTTTTTTTTTTTTTTTTTTTTTGAGACAGAGTCTTGCTCTGTCCCCCAGGCTGGAGTGCAGTGGCGCTATCTCGGCTCACTGCAAGCTCCACCTCCCGGGTTCACACCATTCTCCTGCCTCAGCCTCCCAAGTAGCTGGGACTACAGGCACCTGCCACCACGCCCGGCTAATTTTTTTGTATTTTTAGTAGAGACGGGGTTTCACCGTGTTAGCCAGGATGGTCTCGATCTCCTGACCTCAAGATCTGCCCACCTCGGCCTCCCAAAGTGCTGGGATTACAGGCGTGAGCCACCATGCCCAGCTTTGTTTTTTTTTGTTTTGAGACAGAGTCCCACTGTGTCTCCCAGGCTGGAGTGCAGCGGTGCAATCTTGACTCACTGCAACCTCCGCCTTCTGGGCTCAAGCAATTTTCTTGCCTCAGCCTCCCAAGCAGCTGGGATTACAGGAGCCCATCACCACGCCAGGTAATTTTTTTTTTTTTTTTTTTTTTTGTATTTTTAGTAGAGACGGGGTTTTGCCATGTTGGCTACGCTGGTCTCGAACTCCTGACCTCAGGTGATCTGCCTACCTCAGACTCCCAAAGTGCTGGGATTATAGGTGTGAGCCACCGGCCCAGCTGTATTTTTTTTTTTAGTAGAGACAGGGTTTCACCATGTTGGCCAGGCTGGTCTCGAACTCCTGACCTCAAGTGACTCACCTGCCTCAGCCTCCCAAAATGCTGGGATTACTGGCGTGCGCCACTGTGCCCGGCCCTTCTTTTGATTTTTTTTGTTTTCTACAGCTAAAAAGTGTACGGCCAGTCATGGTGGCTCACAACGGTAATCCCAGTGCTCTGGGAGGCTGAAGCAGGATTGCTTCAGCCCAAGAAGTTGGGCTGCAGGGAGCTGTGATTGTGCCACTGCCCTCCAGCCTGGGTGACAGAGCAAGACCCTTGTCTCTTAAAAAAGGAGAAATATAAAAACCATCCTTAACTCATGGAATGTGAAAATAAAAGAGGCAGGCACTGGATTTGCCCCACAAGCTGTAGTTTGCTGATCTCTGTCTACAGCTCAGAAGACATGGAACTGGTATCAAATGCAAGCTTGTCCAACCCTCAGCCTGCAGGCTGCTTTGAATGTGGCCCAACACAAATTCATAAACTTTCTTAAAACATTATTAGTCGGCCGGGCACGGTGGCTCACGCCTGTAATCCCAGCACTTTGGGAGGCTGAGGCGGGTGGATCACGAGGTCAGGAGATCGGGACCATCCTGGCTAACATGGTGAAACCCCGTCTCTACTAAAAATACAAAAAAAATTAGCCGGGCGTGGTGGCAGGCGCCTGTAGTCCCAGCTACTCGGGAGGCTGAGGCAGGAGAATGGTGTGAACCCAGGAGGCGGAGCTTGCAGTGAGCCCAGATAGGGCCACTGCACTTGATCCTGGGCGACAGTGCAAGACTCCGTCTCGAAAAACAAAACAAAACAAAACAAAAAACAAAAAAAATTATTAGTCTTTTTGTGATTTTTTTTTTAGCTCATCAGCTATATTAGTCAGGGATCTCTAGAGGGATGGAACTAATGGAATATATATAGAATATATAATATATATAAGTTAATATAATATATAATATGTGTTATATAAATATAATATATAAATTATAATATATAATAAGTATATAATATATATTATATATAAAATATATATGGGGGAGTTTATTAAATGTTACTCACACCATCACAAGGTCTCACAGTAGGCCATCTGCAGGCTGAGGGGCAGGGAGAGTGAGTCAGAGTTCCAAAACTGAAGAACGTGGAGTCCGATGTTCGAGGGCAGGAAGCATCCAGGATGGAAGAAAGATGTAGGCTGAGAGGCTAGGACCGTCTCTCCTTTTCACATTTTTCTGACTGCTTATTATTCGCTGGCAGCTGATTAGATGGTGCCCACCCAGATTGAGAGTGGTCTGCCTTTCCCAGCCCACTGACTCAAAAAGTAAACTCCTTTGGCAACACCCTCACAGACACACCCAGGATCAATACTTTGTATCCTTCAGTCCAATCAACTTGACACTCAGTTTTTTTTTTTTTTTTTTGAGATGGAGTCTCGCTCTGTCGCCCAGGCTGGAGTGCAGTGGCGCGATCTCGGCTCACTGCAAGCTCTGCCTCCCGGGTTCACACCATTCTCCTGCCTCAGCCTCCCAAGTAGCTGGGACTACAGTCGCCCGCCACCACGCCTGGCTAATTTTTTGTATTTTTAGTAGAGACATAGTTTCACCATGTTAGCCAGGATGGTCTCGATCTCCTGACCTTGTGATCCACCCGCCTCAGCCTCCCAAAGTGCTGGGATTACAGGCATGAGCCACTGCGCCCGGCCGACACTCAGTTTTAACCATCACAAATCCACCCCTTGTCAACTTGAATCAATACACATCTCCTGAGATCATATATAATCTTCAAATAAAGATAATAATAGGGTCATAATTATGCCTAACATAATATAACTATCCTTCGTACAACCGGAAACGCACCAATCCCCAACCCAAATACTATGACATAAAGTTAACAATACTTAAATGCTGATGTGAAGTCAATAAATCTAAATGTCATGTGATACAGAAGAAAGGAAATAACATGTTTTTTGTTGTTGTTTTTTTTTTTTTGAGACGGAGTTTTGCTCTTGTCGCCCAGGCTGGAGTGCAATAACACGATCTCAGCTCACTGCAATCTCTGCCGCCTGGGTTCGAGCAATCCTCCCAGCCTCCTGAGTAGCTGGGATTACAGGCGTGCACCACCACGCCCAGCTAATTTTTTTATTTTTTTGTAGAGATGGGGTTTCGCCATGTTGGCCAGGCTGGTCTTGAACTCCTGACCTCAGGTGATCCACCTGCCTCGGCCTCCCAAAGTGTTGGGATTACAGTCGTGAGCCACCACGCCTGGCCTAACATGAAGATATTTTCTTAAGTAGAAGTGTATAAATGCACAAACACGTTTTTAACAAAAGGAGGAAATACTCATGAAAATTACAGTCCTCCTTTTTGCAGCTGGTCATGCGGTCATAGCTGGTATTAATGACTACCTTCTTCACTACCCGTTCTGTGTTCCCTTTATCTTCAGCAAGCACCTCAGCAGGTTGTGGTATTTTCCTGGTGGAGTGACCCAAACCTTCATTCCTGAAGGGTCTGGGTCACTTGTAGTCCTTCCTGGATTGTGCTGTTGTAGTTTCCGGTAGACCTTAATCACAGGGCATGGTAGTATCACATGGTAATACTAAGAGACACCCCAGGCTGGGCGTGGTGGCTCACGCCTGTAATGACACCCTAGGCCGAGGCAGGTGGATCACGAGGTCAGGAGATCGAGGCCATCCTGGCTAACATGGTGAAACCCCGTCTCTACTAAAAATACAAGAAAATTAGCCAGGCGTGGTGGCGGATGCCTGTAGTCCCAGCTATGTGGGAGGCTGAGGCAGGAGAATGGCGTGAACCCGGGAGGCGGAGCTTGCAGTGAGCCGAGATAGCATCACTGTGCTCCAGCCTGGGTGACGGGGCGAGACTCCGTCTCAAGAAGAAAAAAAAAGAGACACCCTAATGGATCTCCTCTATTCCATGCATACTCTTCCTTACCTCCGCTGTGGAGTAGTAGACTGATTTCATCTTGATAGTGCGGGTCAGTCACCCCAGCCCACACTGTAACTCCCTTCTTAGCCTGTTGATTTAAAGGTAGGAGGAGCCCAAAGTGTCCAGGTGGCAATCTTAACTTCCAGTTTAATGGAATCGTGTCTCCTGGTGGCAGCATTCCTCCCTCTGGAACTAAGACCTCTAGGCCAGCAGAACATAATGTCACAGGAACAGGAAGCAAAAATTTTGCTAGTGGATTACTAGGGGTGATGGTGAGTGGTGCCACTTCCACTTCAACCCCTTGATTCCTGGATCCGTGAATTCTGGCTATGGGAGAAACGGTACCATATATTGGACGCTGATTCAGAGCATACATGGTCTTGTGGAGAACTTTACCCCAGCCCTGCAGAGTATTGTCACCTAGTTGGAGTTGTAATTGTGACTTCAATTACAGTGAAGGCCATTCCACCATTCTATCAATCCAGCTGCTTCAGGATGATGGGCAACATGGTTAAGACCAGTGAATTCCATGAACATGAGCCCACTGTTACACTTCTTCTTTCTTTCTTTCTTTTTTTTTTTTTTTTTTGAGATGGAGTCTCGCTCTGTCACCTAGGCTGGAGTGCAGTGGCACGATCTTGGCTCACTGCAAGCTCTGCCTCCCGGGTTCACGCCATTCTGCCTCAGCCTCCCGAGTAGCTAGGACTACAGGCGCCCGCCACCACGCCCGGCTAATTTTTTGTATTTTTAGTAGAGACGGGGTTTCACCCTGTTGGCTAGGATGGTCTGGATCTCCTGACCTCGTAATCCACCCACCTCGGCCTCCCAAAGTGCTGGGATTACAGGCATGAGCCACCGCGCCCGGCCGCCCACTGTTACACTTCTTTAGCCCTAAAGTGAGTGCCTTGGTCAGAGGCAATGCTGTGTGGAATACCATGCATTCCGTGAGTCCACAGATGGTAGTCTTGGCAGAAGCATTGCCTGCAGGATAGGCAAACCCATATCCAGAGTAAATGTTTATTCCAGTGAGGACAAACCTCTACTGTTTTCATGATGGAAGAGGTCCAATATAATCTTCCTGCCACCAGGGAGCTGGCTGATTGAATGGTGCCATATCGAGGGCTCAGTGTTGCTCTCCACTGCTGGCAAATTGGGCACTCAGCGGTGGCCAGAGCCAGGTCCACCTTGGTGAGTGGAAGTCCATCTTGCTGAGCCCACACGTAACCTCCATCCCTGCCACCATGGCCACTTTGTTCATGGGCTCATTGGGCGATGATGGGTGGCTGGGGAAAGAGGCTGAGTGGTGTCCACAGAACGGGTCATCCTATCCACTTGATTATTAAAATCCTCCTCTGCTGAGGTCACTTAGCGGAGCACTCACATGGAATACAAATATCTTCACAGTTTTTGACCACTCAGAGAGGCTCCATCCACATACCTCTTCCCCAGATTTCTTTTTTTCTTTCCTTTTTTTTTTTTTAAGACAGATTCTCACTCTCGCTCAGGCTAGAGTGCAATGGCGCAATCTTGGCACACTGCAACCTCTGCCTCCCAGGTTCAAGTGATTCTCCTGCCTCCGCCTCCTGAGTAGCTGGGTTTGCAGGTGCCCACCACCACACCTGGCTCTAATTTTTGTATTTTTAGTAGAAATGAGGTTTTACCATGTTGGCCAGGCTGGTCTTGAACTTCTGACCTCAGGTGATCCTCCTGCTTCAGCCTCCCAAAGTGCTGGGATTACAGATGTGAGCCACCATGCCCAACCCATTTTCCTGACCCTTTCTGTTTGCATTGGACCTTAACTGTTATTTTTCTGCTTATATAAATTAAATAGGAATGCAGTAGGCTGCCTATCAATTTCACTTCTAGGAACACTGATTAATTAGCTAATGCCAGAGTTCTACACGAGTCAGACTATTCTGATTGCCACTTTGCCTCTGCTGTCTGTTAGGGTAGCTATGCCCACCTTGCCTTTGACAATTGAGTGCTGCCACTTGGTGTCTGCCAACTTGGGATCCAGTTATTCCCACTGTACTTAAATTTTTTTTTTCCCATGAGTTTTTATTAGCAGTGAAGTCATGATTTTGGATGCCGGGGTGGGGATCACCGGGTACTAGGTCCCCCTTCACCACCCTGGGAGAAGGACAGAGGACAGAGGAGAGGGAGGTGCAGCCAGTTCAGATCTTCCCGGGAAACGTGCCTTCAGCCCAGTGCTTGTCCCAGGCTGTGACCCAGTATGTGGGGCAGAGGGACTTGTACACATGCTGGTACCATTCGCACACAGAGATATCACCTCCTTTAGTGGTCACTGCCTTCTGACAGCAGTGGAAGTCCAGGTAGTTCTGCTAGCAGTTCCTGGTCTGGTTCTGGTTGGGAAGCAGCTGTCAAAAGGGGCAGTCTTGTAGTTCTTGATTTCGGTCTCGATGTCTTCTTCCGCCATGGTGCTGAATCCCAAAGGCAGCCTAGATACAACTTCTGTATTTAAATTTTGTAGTTGAGTGACTGAGATTCCCACTATTGGATCGGACATACAGAGAAGAGCAATTACAGGGCTCTTCAAAGATGCAGGTGCTGCCCTCACAAATCTATTTTGCAAAGCACTGGTCAAGGGTATATCTTCTGGACCTTTCCAGCTGGGATGAGTAGGTCTAAAGTGACTAATGCACTCCACCATCCCAATCTCCCTAAGCTTTCAGATCCCTTGCTCTACATTAAACCAAGGGAGATCAGGCATTTACAGCTCGCTCACAGTGGGCCATCTTCTAATCCATATTTCAGCTGACTAAGCAAATAAACTATTAGAACCTTTTTTTTAACTCCCTGAGCTGCAACATTAAATGCAGAGTCCCTAATTAGTAGGCCCAAATCAATAAATTCAGCCTGATCCAACCCTGTGTTTCTTCCATCTATTTATTTATTTATTTATTTATTTATTTATTTATTTGAGACAAAGTCTCACTCTGTTGCCCAGGCTGGAGTGCAGTGGCATGATCTTGGACTCACTGCAACCTCTGCCTCCCGGGTTCAAGCAATTCTCCCTGTCTCAGCCTCTCAAGTAGCTGGGATTACAGGAGCCCGCCACCAGCCCAGCTAAGTTTTGCATTTTTTTTCGTAGAGACAGGGTTTCACCATGTTGACCAGGGTGGTCTTGAACTCCTGACCTCAGGTGATCCGCCCACCCTGGCCTCCCAAAGTGCTGGGATTACAGGCATGAGCCACTGTGCCCGACCTGTTCCTTCCACCATTATCCCACACCCTTAATATCCATTCCCATGCCTGTTCTCCAGATTTCTGTTTATATAAATTAGAAAACTCAAGCAGTTCTTTTCAAGTGTAGCACATGTCCTAATGGGTCACACTCTCAGCCTCACCTCTAGGGGCCCACCAGGACTTTAGTTATAGGTCTAGAAGCAAACACGGGTGTTGGGGTGGTTTTTGAGGAGAATCAACAGTATCTTGCCTGGCAACTGCCTCAGGGGAGGCCATCACTGTTGTCTCAGGCAGCACAAGCTGTATCTCCTCAGACAAAGGTGGAAAGGCTGATGGCAGCATAGTCGGGGAGGGATGTTGCCACTACTGGAGATGGGGAAGCTGTTCCTTCTGGCAAAAAAGGTTCATCAGAGTTTACAAACTCAGTGCCCCCAGCTTCATCAGGGTCCTCCCACACGTCCCCATTCCAAGTTGCAGGGTCCCATTCTTTTCCGATCAATGCCCTCACTTTAATAGTAGACACCTGGCTGGGCGCGGTGGCTCATGCCTGTAATCCCAGCACTTTGGGAGGCCAAAGTGGGCGGATCACGAGGTCAGGAGATCGTGACCATCCTGGCTAACATGGTGAAACCCCGTTTCTACTAAAAATACAAAACAAAACAAAAAAAAAATTAGCCAGGCGTGGTGGCTGGCGCCTGTAGCTGGCGGGTGCCTGTAGTCCCAGCTACATGGGAGGCTCAGGCAGGAGAACGGTGTGAACCCTGGAGGCGGAGCTTGCAGTGAGCCCACATCGGGCCACTGCACTCCAGCCTGGGCAACAGTGTGAGACTCCATCTCAACAAACAAACAAACAAACAAAAAAACAGTAGACACCTGGTGAGGCTGTGCATGCACCTGTCACTGCAGGTCAGCCACTCACATGATAAGAGCTTGTGTCAGTTTTTCCACAATTTCAGCTCTTTCTCTACAGGAGATGAGACTCTCAGGACAATCTTAGCAGATTTGAGGCTCAGTATCTGCTTCTGAAGCTGGGAAATAGAATCCCTGAGTTCATTATTTTATTTCATCGCTCTGTCCATTGAATTTAGAAGCAACCAACCAGCTTCATTTTGTTCCTTGGTTCTCCACATATGGTGAAAGGTATTAGGTACAGAGTCACTAAACTCCTTGCCTCTCACAAGCAATGAATCAGGAGTGTCAAATGCATTTATTTTGCACAACTCTCTAAACAGTTCATGCTAAAGGACTATCAGTGTTCTCCAAACTATTAGAAGTATAGTCCTTAGCATTTCTAATCATATTAAGCAGCTGACTCCAGAAACCCCAAAACCAACAAAAGAACTCCATCCTTAATATTCTGTTCCTCTAGAATCACTCCTGGTACTAAAATCTGTATTAGTCAGGGTTCTCTAGAGGGACAGAACTAATGGAATATATATATGTATGTTTATATATATATGAGTTTATTAAGTATTAACTCACACGATCACAAGATCCTGCAATAGGCCATCTGCAGGCTGAGGAGCAAAGAAAGAGTTCCAATACTGAAGAACTTGGAGTCCGAGTTTCAAGGGCAGGAAGCACCCAGCATTGGAGAAAGATGTAGGCTGGGAGGCTAGGCCAGTCTCTTCCCATTTTCTGCCTGCTTATATTCTAGCCATGCTGGCAGCTAATTAGATTGTGCCCACCCAGATTGAGGGTGGGTCTGCCTTCCCCAGCCTACTGACTCAAATGTTAATGTCGTTTGGCAACACCCTCACAGACACATCCAAGATCAATACTTTGTATCTTTCAATCCAATCAAGTTGACACTCGGTATTAACCATCACATCAGCTATCGTTAATGTTAGTGTATTTTATGTGTGGCCCAAGACAATTCTTTCAATGTGGGCCAGGGAAGCCAAAAGATTGGACACCCCTAGAGTAGAGGATTGTTGCAAAGAAGTCAAGGATGTGAATACTTGTGGTGAGTGTGGCTACTCGCCTAACCAGTGAGGCAATCAGTGAGGTAAGTCCCAGTCAGACAGTCCTCATGCAGGAATAGAGCACAGGAAGAGACCTTTGTAAGTGGTGATGAGAGGTGTTATTGGTTGGCCAGGCACAATTGCTCATGTTTGTAATCCCAGTGTTTTAGTAGGCCAAGGTAGGAGGATACCTTGAGCCCAGGAATTCAAGGCTGCAGTGAGCTATAATTGTGCCCTACACTCCAGTCTTGATGACAGAGTGAGACCCTGTCTCTAAAAAAAAAAAAAAAATGAGAGAGGCCAGGCGCGGTGGCTCATGCCTGTAATCCCAGCACTTTGGGAGCCCGAGGCGGGCGGATCACGAGGTCAAGAGACCGAGACCATCCTGGCCAACATGGTGAAACCCCGTCTCTACTAAAATACAAAAAAAATTAGCTGGGTGTGGTGGCGTGCACCTGTAATCCCAGCTATTCAGGAGGCTGAGGCAGGAGAATCGTTTGAACCCCGGAGGCGGACGTTGCTGTGAGTCAAGATCACACCACTGCCCTCCAGCCTGGGCAACAAGAGCGAAACTCGGTCTCAAAAAAAAAAAAAAGAGAATGACAGAGATACAGAGAGAGATGTCATCACTGGCAATTGGTGAGATTCTAGGGTTCATAGGGAGTAGAAACCAATTGCATTAAGTATGGGAGATGAGGCAGTGGGGGAAGCCTAGCCTGTTATGTGGGCGACTATTCTTTCAGGTTTTTTTTTTCTTTGTTTTTTTTTTCTTGAGATGGAGTCTCGCTCTGTTGCCCTGGCTGGAGAGCAGTGGCACAATCTCGGCTCACTGCAACCTCCAACTCCCAGATTCAAGTAATTCTCCCACCTCAGCCTCCTGAGTAGCTGGGACTACAGGCGTGCTCCACCATGCCCCGCTAATTTTTGTATTTTTAGTAGAGACGGGGTTTCACCATGTTGACCAGCCTGGTCTTGAACTCATGACCTCAAGTGATCCACCTGCTTCAGCCTCCCACAGTGCTGGGGTTACAGGTATGACCCACCATACCTGGCCTTCTTTCAGGTTTGAGGGTTAAAGGAGGAAAAAACCTTATAAAGAAGAAACCTTACAAAGTGAAACAAGAATCCAAAGTAAGATTTTTTTTTTTTTTTTTTTTTGAGACGGAGTTTCGCTCTTGTTGCCCAGGCTGGAGTGCAATGGTGCGATCTCGGCTCACTGAAACCTTTGCCTCCCAGGTTCAAGCAATTCTCCTGCCTCAGCCTCCCAAGTAGCTGGGATTCCAGGTACCTGCCACCATGCCCAGCTAATTTTTTTTTTTTTTTTGTATTTTTAGTAGAGACGGGGTTTCACCATGTTGGCCAGGCTGGTCTTGAACTCCTGATGTCAGGTAATCCACCCACCTTGGCCTCCCAAAGTGCCGGGATTACAGGTGTGAGCCACCGCACCCAGCCCCAAAGTAAGGATTTTTAAGAATGAAGATGCAGCCGGGCACAGTGGCTCACGCCTGTAATCCCAGCACTTTGGGAGTCCCAGGCAGGTGGATTACCTGACATCAGGAGTTCAAGACCATCCTGGCCAACATGGTGAAACCCTGTCTCTACTAAAGATACAAAAATTAGCTGGGCATGGTGGCGCATGCCTGTAGTCCCAGCTACTCGGTAGGCTGAGGCAGGAGAATTGCTTGAACTTGGGAGGCAGAGGTTGCAGTGAGCCAAGATTGTGTCACTGCACCCCAGCCTGGGCAACAGAACAAGACTCCTTCCCAAAAAAAAAAAAAAAAAAAAAAAGAGGACATAATTTGTGAAGCAAACAGGGGATGGGGTCCAGGGGATGGGACTAAGGGCTCTTTTTGAAAAGGAATAAGGACCTGACCTTCCTTTGGAGCTAAGTATTGACAAACTACCTATTACCTATTGTTGCGTAAAACATTACCCCAATACTTAGTGGGTTAAAGCAGCAAGCATTTATGATCTCACAGCTTCTGTTGTACAGGAATGCAGGCACAGCTTAACCAAGTACCTCTGGCTTAAAGCTTCTCATGAGGTTCGAGAAGCTGTTAACTGGAGCTGCAGTCTCATCTGAAGGTTTGACTGAAGGAAGGCTCCACTGCCATGCTCTCTCCTGTGGCTGGTGGCAGGCCTCAGTCCCTCCCACATGGGCCTCTCCATAGAGCTGCTTCACAACATGGCCGCTGGCTTCCACCATGGAGACAGAGACACAGAGAGATAGAGAGCAAGTGCTGGAAAGAACAAGAGAGCTCACTCACTATGGAAGCCATCGTCTTTTAAAAACTTAATCTCAAAAGTGATAGCTCATAATTTCCTTGGTATCCTGTGTGTGAGAAGGGAGGCAGTAAGTCCATTCCATGCTCAGTTAGATGGAGGGGCCTGCAGAAAGATGAGCAGATCAGGACAGCAGGGGTTGCTGGGCACCATCTTGGAGGCTGCCCACCACCACTGGTGCAGAAGGCAGAGAAGTTTATGTCCCTTTTGCCTCGGAAAATGAAATATCTGCTGTGGATGAAGATGATAAACAATGGAAGTAGGGAACTTAAGTAATATGGTAAAGCTTTTGTATAGACACTGAGAAAAGTGGGAAAGGAAGCTGTCCAAGAGCAGCATCTGGATATGAAAAAGTAATGAAACAGAAATACAGTCAAACTTCTGGAGGCCATGGCCTGGTTAGGACGGGGACAGACCTTAGTGAGAGGTGCTTACTGTAAGTTGCTTTCTTGAATCAAGTTCCCTTCTAACTTTAGTCATCAGAATCTCACTTTGCTCTATCAGGTATGGGAAACTCTGGGAAACTTCAAAATATTTCTATTCCTTTTTTTTTTTTTTTTTTTGAGATGGAGTCTCACTCTGTTGCCCAGGCTGGAGTGCAGTGGCGCCATCTCGGCTCACCGCAAGCTCCACCTCCCGGGTTCACGCCATTCTCCTGCCTCAGCCTCCTGAGTAGCTGGGACTACAGGCGCCTGCCACCACACCCAGCTAATTTTTTGTATTTTTAGTAGAGACGGGGTTTCACCGTGTTAGCCAGGATGGTCTCGATCTCCTGACCTCGTGATCCGCCCGCCTTGGCCTCCCAAAGTGCTGGGATTACAGGTGTGAGCCACTGTGCCTGGCCAATATCTCTATTCTTTCTCTTCACCTTATTGAATATCACTGACCTACCCATTCGATGACTTTTAAACTGACACATCTTTCATTTTAAAGTCACTTTTGCATTGAAGATTCAGCAGTGACTCAATGAGACATCCACATAGTGGTGAAAGAAAGTAACTGTACAGAAAATTATCCCCTTCTGCCATTCCCTTTGAGTTTTCATGCAGGGAGAAGAGAAAACTACCTGTAATTTTACTATTTGAAAATTACAGGCCGGGCGCAGTGGCTCACACCTGTAATCCCAGCACTTTGGGAGGCCGAGGCGGGTAGATCACCCGAGGTCAGAAGTTCGAGACCAGCCTGACCAACATGGAGAAACCCCATCTCTACTAAAAATACAAAATTAGTCGGGCGTGGTGACACATGCCTATAATCCCAGCTACTCGGGAGGTTGAGGCAGGAGAATCATTTGAACCCGGGAGGCGGAGGTTGCGGTGAGCCGAGATTGTGCCATTGCACTCCAGCCTGGGCAACAAGAGCAAAACTCTGTCTAAAAAAAAAAAAAAAAAAAAAAAAAAAAATTAGGCCAGGTGCCATGGCTCATGCCTGTAATCCCAGCACTTTGGGAGGCCGAGGCAGGTGGATCCCCTGAGGTCAGGAGTTCCAGGCCAGCTTAGCCAACATGGCAAAACCCGATCTCTAGTAAAAATACAAAAAAATCAGCCAGATGTGGTGGCACACGTCTGTAATCCCAGTTACTCGGGAGGCTGAGGCAGGAGAATAATTGCTTGAACTCGGGAGGCAGAGGTTGCAGTGAGCCGAGATCACGCCACTGCACTCCAGCCTGGGTGACAGAGCCAGACTCCGTCTCAAAAAAAAAAAAAAAGAAAAGAAAATTACATTAGAACTGCCTTATTCAGTGAGAATGACTGATGGGGGGAAAGCAGCCTCTTTCCTACTGGATAGAAAAGAGGAAGGATATAGCTGTACGAACTGCTGACCCAACACCATGAAACCATGGAAGCAGAACTGAGACAGGGAAACCTCCTCCTGTTAACATTATTGGAGCCCTGGATTAAGCTACGCCTGAAGTTATGCTATGCCAGGATGCCAGTTATAAAAACTAATACAATTCCCTTCTTGTTTAAGACACTTTAGAGTTGAATTTTCTCTTACAAAATAAAGAGTCGTAACTGACATAGAAATTGTTAACTAAATGGGGGGTTGCAAGTAACAGATCCTAAACTATGGAATTGGCCGCAAAGAGTGGGATGGAGGGAAGTGAGGACTGTCCTGGTTCAGGAAGTTGACAGTCTTTGTTGGGTGGGAGCTATCACCTGCTGTTTCTTGGGACCTGACCATGTACATACTAATATGAAGCACTAGGGACTTGGTAGGAAAAAAGTTCAGGCATTAACAGCTTGCTTGTTTCAGCCCTCAGCAAATATCTAGAAAAAAGAAACAGCCTTATCCTGAAACTGGTCAGTCTGTAAACAAAGAAGGGAGAAATATGGCTTTGCTAAGAGACCCCCTTTCTAAACTTAAGGAATTTCTTCACATTTAATTTCCATTTAAATTTCTTCAGGTAAAATTTAAATTAATGATTTTATTAAGAATTATGGCCAGGAGGCCGGGCACGGTGGCTCCTGCCTGTAATCCCACCACTTTGGGAGGCCAAGGCAGGCAGATGACGAAGTCAGGAGTTCGAGACCAGCTTGGCCAACGTGGTGAAACCCCGTCTCTACTAAAAATACAAAAAATTAGCCGGGTGTGGTGGCGGGCGCCTGTAGTCCCAGCTACTTGGGAGGCTGAGGCAAGAGAATGGCATGAACCCGGGAGGCAGAGCTTGCAGTGAGGTGAGATCGCGCTACTGCACTCTAGCCTGGGCGACAGAGCAAGACTCCGTCTCAAAAAAAAAAAAAAAAGAATTATGGCCAGGAGCTGTGACTCATGCCTGTAATCCCAGCACTTTGGGAGTTTGAGGTGGGAGGATCACTTGAGGCCAGGAGTTCGAGACCAACCTGGGCAACATAGTGAGACCACCACCCCCATATCTATTAAAAAAAAAAAAAAAGAATAGTATGAAGAGCATGATTGCACTTAGTAAAATAATTCCCATCCGTATTTTTTAAATTTTTTTAATTTTTTTATTTTTTCCTGAGTTGGAGTTTAGCTCTTATTGCCTAGGCTGGAGTACAGTGGCACAATCTCGGCTCACTGCAACCTCCGCCTTCTGGTTTCAAGCAATTCTCCTGCCTCAGCCTCCTGAGTAGCTGGGATTACAGGCCCCCGCCACCACGCCCAGCTAATTTTTGTATTTTTAGTAGAGACAGGGTTTCACCATGTTGGCCAGGCTAGTCTCGAACTCCTGACCTCGTGATCTGCCCACCTTGGCCTCCCAAGCCCATCCATCTTTATCCTGTCCTCTCAATTCTTGGAAGTACAATGCATAGAACTTTTATTCTCAGCCATTTGAGAGTAAATTGCCTGAGGCTCCATTACCCTCCAAACAAGGACATTCTCCTACATAACCACAATGGCACCATCAAAATCAGGAAACTGGAGTGATACCATCAAAATGATACCATAACCATGAAAACCAGGAAACTGGAATGAAACTGCCAATCCTTAGGGCCCCTTCACGTTTTGACAATCGTTCTAATAATGTCCTTTTCGCAAAAGGAGCCAGTTTAGAGTCGCCTGCTGTATTCAGCTGTCCTGTCTCTCTAGTCTCTTTCAGTCTAGAACAGTCTCAGTCTGTCCTTGACTTCCGTGGCCTTGCTGCTCTTCAGGACTACAGAAAAGTTATTTTGTCAAATGCCCCTTAATTTGGGTGTGTCTGCTATGTCTGTCTTCCTGAGAAAGTTCAGGGTCATTTCTTGAGGAGCATGTCCAGAAGCGATTCTGTGTTCTGTTGCAACTCAGCAGGTGGCACACGATTCCAATTTGTTTCATTACTGGTGATGTTCACTTTCATCACTTAAGTTAGTGTCTGCCAGATTCTTCCACTATAAATAAGGAAGTTGCTTCCCCCCCTTTTTATTTTTTTATTTTTTATTTTTTGAGATGGAGTCTCACTTTGTCGCCCAGGCTGGAGTGCAGTGGCGCGATCTCGGCTCACTGCAAGCTCCGCCTCCCAGGTTCACGCCAGTCTCCTGCCTCAGCCTCCCAAGTAGCTGGGACTACAGGCGCCCGCCACCACGCCCGGCTAATTTTTTTGTATTTTTAGTAGAGACGGGGTTTCACTGTGTTAGCCAGGACAGTCTCGATCTCCTGACCTCGTGATCCGCCCACCTCGGCCTCCCAAAGTGCTGGGATTACAGGCGTGAGCCACCGCGCCTGGCCCCTTTTCCCCCGTCTTGATAACTTTCTAGTATTTTTGTGATTTTTGTGGGGGTAATTTGAAATCATGTGAATATCCCATTCCTCATGGAGTTTTTCATTTATTCCTCTGCAGATTTTATACCTCTATGACTCATCATTTCCTGTAGTCCTGTTTTATCCCATGCATTGTAATCCTTCTCTCTCATTATTTTGATGCTCTGTCTCAGATTTGGCCAGTGGGAGCCCTGTACACAGACATCTGTGCCTTTTGCATGTCCCTGGCATTCTTTGGGCAACTTCCTTGCTCTCTCTGGCACAAAAAGATGTTCTGGGTTCATTTATATTTTCCCTGTCCTGATACTGCAATCAACCATTTCTCAAAGGAGCCCTTGCTCCTTTTAATGGAGAATGGTTAGAAGCCAAGAACTGGACACGGGATGTGCTCGTGGCTATTTAAGTGTGGCCATGTCTAGGTCCTCTCAGTGGGCAGAGCTAGGATGTGCATACATGGAACACACATGCAAACACAGAACACACATGCGAACACAGAACACAGTGCACACATGGAGCACATGCGAACACAGAACACACGTACACACATGAAGCACATGTGAACACAGAACACACGTGCGTACATGGATCACACATGTGAACATAGAACACACGTGCATACATGGAACACATGCATACCTGGAGCACAGAGACATCTTTACACATACACTTATTTCCATATCTTTAAACATTTTTACTGCTTTTTTGAGGTCTCACTGAAAAATAAACATTGCATATATTTAATGTGTAGTGATGATCTGATATTCATGTACACTGTGAAATGATGACCATGACCAAGCTATAACATATCTTCCACCTTCCCTAGTTACCATTTGTGTGGTGAGGACACTTGAGACCTACTCTCTGCACGTCTCAGGTATACAACACGATATTGTTAACTGTAGTCACCATGCTGTACTTCCAAATCTTTTTTTTTTTTTTTTTCGAGAGAGTCTCGCTCTGTCGCCCAGGCTGGAGTGCAGTGGTGCTATCTCAGCTCACTGCAAGCTCCTCCTCTCCGGTTCACGCCATTCTCCTGCCTCAGCCTGAGCTGAGGACTACAGGCGCCCACCACCACGCCCAGCTAATTTTTTTGTATTTTTAGTAGAGAGGGGGTTTCACCACGTTAGCCAGGATGGTCTCCATCTCCTGACCTCGTGATCCGCCCACCTCGGCCTCCCAAAGTGCTGGGATTATAGGCATGAGCCACCGTGCCTGGCCAATTTTTTAATTATTTATTCATTTTTTGAGACAGAGTCTTGCTCTTCACTCAGGCTAGAGTGCAATGGTGTGATCTCGGCTCACTGCAACCTCCGCCTTCTGGGTTCAAGGAATTCTCATGCCTCGGCCTCCCAAGTAGCTGGTATTACAGGCATGCACCACCATGGCCGGCTAATTTTTGTATTTTTAGTAGAGACAGGATCCCACTGTATTGCCCAAGCTGGTCTCAAACTCCTGGCCTCAAGTGATCTGCCCGCCTCAGCCTCCCAAAGTGCTGGGATTACAGGCGTGAGCCACCACACCTGGCCTCTAAATCTATTTTTTAAAATGACTTTAGGTGGTGTGTGGCTCAGGCCTGTAATCCCAGCACTGTGGGAGGCCGAGGTGGGAGGATCGCTTGAGCCTGGAAGCTGGAGACCAGCCTGGGCAACATTGTGCCTGGTCAGAAATGTGTTTTTGGTTAAAACAGTTCATGTGTGATTTTGACGGAAGGCAGATCCAAGTCCTTGTAAGGAGGGAACTGAGACTAATATCTGCAGCCCTCCAGTCCCAGACTCCCCATTCCACACTCCAGGGCTCCCACTGTCTTCTGGCATTTGCTTCCTAAACTACAACCCAGCCAGCTCCACTGCTTACTTCTTGGACATTGTTGTCCAGCCCCTTGGAAAACAGTTGGAACAGCCGTTGGGCTCTGAGCAACAAGGCCCTTTTATTTCAGTTAGATGCTGGTGAGAGCTGCTACCTGCAGCATTCCTGACAACATTTATCCTGGAGCCATCCCTTCCCTTCCCTCCCTTTCCCTCCCCTCCCCTTCCCTCTTCCTCCTCTCCCCCCTCCCCCCCCTTCCTTCCTTTCTTTCTCTCTCTCTTGCTCTCTCTGTCTCTCTCTCTCTTTCTTTCTTTCTTTCTTGTCTGTTGCCCAGGCTGGAGTGCAATGGCACGATCTCGGCTCACTGCAACCTCCGCCTCCAGGGTTCAAGCGATTCTCCTGCCTCAGCCTCCTTAGCATCTGGGACTACAGGCACCCACCACCACACCTAATTTTTTTGTATTTTTAATAGAGATGGGGTTTCGCTATGTTGGTCAGGCTGGTCTTGAATTCCCGACCTCAGGTGATCCTCCCACCTCAGCCTCCCAAATTGCTGGGATTACAGGCGTGAGCCACTGCGCCCGGCCTCCTACAGCAGTATTTCTACTACCACCATACAATATATGCCACACTGTGCTTTTTAGTTGCATGAAAAGTGTAGCAAAATGGGTACCCCAATTCCAAACAAAGGCTACAGTCCTGGGAGTATGAGTGGCTTTATTTTCTCTTCCTGGCATCACAGGGTCTTCAGGATTTGGGGATTTTGTTTTGATTTTATGTCCCCCAGTATCTTGTGCCTGTAGTAAAATATCAGAATTCTAGCACCCCTGATTGTGCTTTCACACATAAAGCTCAAGGAAACTAAACCACCTCATGATATCCTCTCTGTGCAGACTATGCCATTCTGACACCAGATTTGATATCCCAGATTGAGGGGAAAAGGAGAAAATGGAAAGGGCGGTTCACCTTCATGCCAACGAGCATTTGTATTTGAAGAGCATAAAAGCGTGGCTGTTTGGAGCAAGTTAGACGGGATTAGGGTGCTGACATTTGAAGCTATACAATGGCATGATCCAAATTCCTTTTCTTAGTATTCTTGTCATATTGGCAGGATTCGGGTTTGGGAAATGGAAATGACAACTAGTAGGCCTTGGATCTTCTAGATGGGATAAGAGATGCTGGCTTGTTCATTGGTCGATTTATAGTATACATTATATTATATATTAATATATAGACATACATACACATGCATGCACACACACACACACATATGAAATTGTGGGTATGTGTGTCTGTGTAAATAAAAGACGTGCAGCCCTGGGTGGATTTAGAGGGACAGTGCAACTCTGATAAGCCCAAGCTGAGTCACAGCTGAAGACTGGGAAGACACACTGGAAATACTCTATTTCTACGTCTGAGATAAAGGTTCTAAGACCCAGAGAAGTTGTCCTCACCCTAGGACTAGAACTCAGATATTTTATTTATTTATTTTTTGAGACAGAGTTTTGCTCTTGTCACCCAGGCTGGAGTGCAATGGCGCGATCTCAGCTCACTGCCACCTCCGCCTCCTGGGTTCAAGCAATTCTCCTGCCTCAGCCTCCCAGGTAGCTGGGATTACAGGAGCACGCCACCACACCCAGCTAATTTTTTATTTTTAATAGAGATGGGTTTTCATCATGTTGGCCAGACTGGTCTCAAACTCCTGACTTCAGGTGATCTACCCACCTTGGCCTCCCAAAGTGCTGGGATTACAGGTGTGAGCCACTGCGCCCAGCCAAACCCAGATATTTTAACTCTGTCTAGTGTTCTTTCTAACTTGACCACACTCCTTCAATTAAATTGGCTCTGAGTCTAGGAAGAAAGAAAAATTGTCACATGGAAGTATTTCTTTCTTAGTTCATGAGTTTTTATTTTTATTATTATTTATTTATTTAATTTTTGTTTTTTGAGATGCAGTCTCGCTCTGTCGCCCAGGCTGGAGTGCATGTGGCGTGATCTCGGCTCATTGCAACCTCCGACTCCTGGGTTCAAGCAATTCTTCTGCCTCAGCCTCCTGAGTAGCTGGGATTACTACATGCACCACCATGCCCACAGGTGATCTGCCTGCCTCGGCCTCCTAAAGTGCTGGGATTATAGGCATGAGCTACCACGCCCGGCCTGTTTTAAATTTTTTTTATTTCCATGACACAGCCCCAAGAGGTCCCGACATGTGCCCCTGATATATTTTGCTATTCATATTACAAATAAATGTAGTATCTCAAGTTAGTTCCCATTTCTTATCTCATTTCAGCACTTCTCTAGGGACACCTGGGTTCTGTTCTGTGTGTGGTTAAGGCTTAACAGGCCAGGTTTTCCCACGCCCGATTCCTTGCAGTTGAACTGCAATTGCTGGTGTCCCATCAGCCTCCACCCCAATTCCTCACTCACAGCTGACGGGAGAAATATCTGAAGCTTCCCTGGAAAGGCTTCTTCTCTTTTTCTACTCGTTGCCTTAGCTGTGGCTGTGGAGTCGTTTTCTGTCTGGGCATTCCTTCCCTGACCCGTGAACTCTCCTACCCAGCCTTCCTGAACACTTCTCAGTGCATCGACTCTTTATTTGTCTAAAGTTTTACAGCAGTGGGTCCTTTCATGTCCAATTCTTGCTTTGTCGTTGTTCTAACAACCCATATGGGGAATGTTTTCTGGGCAACACGGAAATGAATTCAAGAGGAGTCTTTCATGTATATGAAACTGACCCAATAGTCCCACAGACAGTTTTTTTTTTGTTTGTTTTTTTTTTTGGATAAACATAGAAATTGTCCCTTCTAGTCTTTTTTTTTTTTTTTTTTGAGGCCGTATATCACTGTGTCGCCCAGGCTGGAGTGCAATGGCACGATCTTGGCTCACTGCAACCTCCGCCTCCTCGGTTCAAGCGATTCTCCTGCTCAGCCTCCCAAGTAGCTGGGATTACAAGCACCCACCACCAAGCCTGGCTAATTTTTGTATTTTTAGTAGAGACAGGGTTTCACCAGGCTGGTCTCGAACTCCTGACCTCAGGTGATCCGCCTGTGTCGGCCTCCCAAAGTGCTTGGATTATAGGTGTGAGCCACTGTGCCCGGCTTTGTTTTTATTTTTTAGCAGCCTCCCAAAGGATTAGAAGTGTGAGCCACCTTGCCAGGCCCAGTTGCCAACAATTCTTGGTGTTCTTCCGCTTGTAGCTGCATCACTGCAATCCCTGCATATGTCACCACATGGCCATCTTCCCTCTGTATGTCTGTGTCTACTCGTATAAAGATACCACTCAGATTGGGTTAGGGACCCACTCTACTCCAATACAACCTCATCTTAATTTATTACATCTGCAATGACCCTGTTTCCAAATAAGGTTACAGTCTGAGGTTCTGGGAAGGACATGAATTTTGGGGGACACTTTAATTCAGGTGTAGGAAAATGGCAACAGTATTTCAAAACTCACTCAGGCTGGGCGCAGTGGCTCACGCCTGTAATCCCAGCACTCTGAGAGGCCGAGGTGGGCGGATCACTAGCTCAGGAGATTGAGACCATCCTGGCTAACACAGTGAAACCCCATCTCTACTAAAAATACACACAAAAAAATTAGCCGGGCGTGGTGGCGGGTGCCTGTAGTCCCAGTGAGAGGTGACAGCGTGCTGGCAGTCCTCAGAGCCCTTGCTTGCTCTCGGCACCTCCTCTGCCTGGGCTCCCACTTTGGCGGCACTTGAGGAGCTCTTCAGCCCACCACTGCACTGTGGGAGCCCCTTTCTGGGCTGGCCAAGGCTGGAGCCCACTCCCTCAGCTTGCAGGGAGGTGTGGAGACAGAGGTGCGAGCGGGAACGGGGGCTGCCTGCGGCGCTTGCGGGCCAGCTGAAGTTCCGGCTGGGCGTGGGCTTGGCGGCCCCGCACTCGCAGCAGTCGGCTAGCCCTGCTGGCCCCGGGCAATGAGGGACTTAGCACCCGGGCCAGCGGCTGCGGAGGGTGTACTGGGTCCCCCAGCAGTGCCGGCCCACCAGCACTGCACTCGATTTCTCACCGGCCTTAGCTGCCTTCCCGCGGGGCAGGGCTCGGGACCTGCAGCCCGCCATGCCTGAGCTTCCCACCCACTCCATGGGCTCCTGTGCGGCCCGAGCCTCCCCGACGAGCGCCACCCCCTGCTCCACGGCGCCCAGTCCCATCGACCACCCAAGGGCTGAGGAGTGCGAGCGCACGGCGCGGGACTGGCAGGTAGCTCCACCTGCAGCCCCGGTGTGGGATCCACTAGGTGAAGCCAGCTGGGCTCCTGAGTCTGGTGGGGACGTGGAGAGTCTTTATGTCTAGCTCAGGGATTGTAGATACACCAATCAGCCCCCTGTGTTTAGCTCAGGCTTTGTGAGTGCACCAATCGACACTCTGTATCTAGCTGCTCTGGTGGGGCCTTGGAGAACCTGTGTGTCCAAACTCTGTATCTAACTAATCTGATGGGGACGTGGAGAACCTTTGTGTCTAGCTCAGGGATTGTAAACGCACCAATCAGTGCCCTGTCAAAACAGACCACTTGGCTCTACCAATCAGCAGGATGTGGGTGGGGCCAGATAAGAGAATAAAAGCAGGCTGCCCGAGCCAGCATTGGCAACCCGCTCGGGTCCTCTTCCACACTGTGGAAGCTTTGTTCTTTTGCTCTTTGCAATAAATCTTGCTACTGCTCACTCTTTGGGTCCACGCTGCTTTTATGAGCTGTAACGCCCACCGCGAAGATCTGCAGCTTCACTCCTGAGCCCAGCAAGACCACAAGCCAACCGGGAGGAATGAACAACTCCAGACACGCTGCCTTAAGAGCTGTAACACTCACCGCAAAGGTCTGCAGCTTCACTCCTGAGCCAGCAAGACCACGAACCCACCAGAAAGAAGAAACTCCAAACACATCTGAACATCAGAAGGGACTGACTTCAGACACGCCACCTTAAGAGCTGTAACACTCACCGCGAGGGTCTGCGGCTTCATTTTTGAAGTCAGTGAGACCAAGAACCCACCAATTCTGGACACACCAGCTACGCGGGAGGCTGAGGCAGGAGAATGGCGTGAACCTGGGAGGCAGAGCTTGCAGTGAGCCGAGATCACGCCACTGCACTCCAGCCTGGGCGACAGAGTGAGACTCCGTGTCAAAAACAAACAAACAAAAAAACACACCTCACTCAGTGAATATAATGTTTGCAGGGGAAGACAAATGTACATTAAATAAAGACCAACTACAATAGCAAATAATGAGGCAAGGCACAGTGGCTCATGGCTGTAATCCCAGCACTTTGGAAGGCTGAGGCAGGTGGAGCATTTGAGGTCAGGAGTTCGAGACCACCCTGGCCAACATGGTGAAACCCCATTTCCACTAAAAATACAAAAAAAATTAGCTGGTCATGGTGGTGCGCCTGTAATCTCAGCTACTTGGGAGGCTGAGGCAGGAGAATCACTTGAACCTGGGAGGCGGAGGTTGCAGTGAGCTGAGATCATGCCACTGCACGCCAGTCTGGGCAACAGAGTGAGACTGTCTCAAAAAAAAAGCAAATAATGAAATGCCAAGCATGAAAGAGTTTAATGTGGGCTGGAATAACTGGCTAAGTCTTCAGGAAAAGGTGAAACTTGGGTAGATCATTGCAGGAAAGTGAGTGCAGGCATTTTGAGGTGGAGCACAGTGAGGTTAACACATGGAGGTGAGGATGATCAAGGGCCAAGTGGGTGAACAGGCTGGTGACGACTGGTCTAGCATGAGAGGCAGAGATACACTTTTGAAACTGGCCCCATAGTCCCATCACAGTTGTTTTCAGATAAACATAGAAATTGACCCTTTTGCTCTTAAAGCTTGAAACTTGTTTTTGTTTTATCTGAGTTCCTTCCTCAGGAAAGGACCTTCAGGAAGTATCAAAGAACTGAAACTCACCAGATCATCACACCAGATGCCTCCTTCCCCTCCCTAGCTCCTGTTTGCTTACACATTGTTACATTTTTTTCCCTGCTTATACATCCCTTGTTTTAGTCAGAGAGATGGATTTGAGACTGAGCTCCCATCTCCTCAGCTGCAGCACCCAATTAAAGCCTTTTTCCTTGGCAATACCAGTTGTCTCAGTGATTGGCTTTCTGTGCGACAAGCAGCAGGACCTAGACCAAATCTCTGGTGTTTTGGTAACACTTTCAGACCAAGTTTGTTTCTTTTTTTGTTTATTTGTTTTTAGATGGAGTCTTGCTCTGTCACCCAGGCTGGACTGCAATGGCACGATCTCGGCTCACTGCAACCTCTGCCTCCTCGGTTCAAGTGATTCTCTTGCCTCAGCCTCCCAAGTAGCTGGGATTACAGGCATGCACCATCACACCTGGCTAATTTTTTGTATTTTTAGTAGAGACAGGGTTTCACCATGTTAGCCAGGCTGGTCTTGAACTCCTGACCTCAAGTGATCTGTCCGCCTCAGCCTCTCAAATTGGTGGGATTATAGGTGAGAGCCACCATGCCTGGCCAAGACCAAGTTTTTAGAAGAAGCAAACTGCATCTCTATGTATGTCTTCCCAAATCAAACTTGGTGTCTTGTCAATTTGGCCAGGCCCAGTGCTAGGAGGATTTCTTCTTAGGGAACACTGTGTTACAGAGCAGGGGTGGTACCAATTTAGGTGAGTATACTTCTTCTTTGTTAATTTTAGATTGTTGAGGGGGTACATGTGCAGGTTTGTCACACGGGTAGATTGCGTGATGCTGAGATTTCGGCTTCTAATGATCCCATCACCTGAGTAGAGAACATAGTACCCAATAAGGTACTTTTTCAACCCTTGGCCCCTTCACTGCCTCCCCCTTTTGGGATCCCCAGTATTTACCATTGCCATTTTTGTGTCCATGTGTACCAAATGTTTACCACTTACAAGTGAGAACATGCAGTATTTGGTTTTCTGTTTCTGCAGAAATTCACTTAGGATATATCACTCTCCAGCCGTATTCATGGTGCTGCAAAGGACATGATTTTGTTCTTTTTTATGGCTGTACACTTATTTTCTTAGGCTTTTTTTTTTTTTTTTTTTTTTTTTTTTTTGAGACGGAGTTTTGCTCTTGTTGCCCAGGCTGGAGTGCAATGGTGCAATGTTGGCTCACTGCAACCTCCGCCTCCCGGGTTCAAACAATTCTCCTGCTTCAGCCTCCTGAGTATCTGGGATTACAGGCATATGCCACTACGCCTGGCTAATTTTTTTGTATTATTAGTAGAGACAGGATTTCACCATGGTGGCCTTGCTGGTCTTGAACTCCTGACCTCAGGTGATCTGCCTGCCTTGGCCTCCGAAAGTGCTGGGATTACAGGTGTGAGCCACTGCGCCTGGCCATTTTCTTAGTTTTATCCATGAACTTTTCTATTTCAAATAGGTTGGGAATTAATATCTATGGAAGAGGATTCAACTATTCAGGCTTTCAAAATTGCCCCAGTATCCTGGCAAAAATTCTAACCTACATTTAGAGGCATAGAGACAGGTTGTGTTTTTGTTTTGTTTTATTTTTGTTCTTAAACATTTGGGGTATCTAAGGCTGATTTCTGAGAAGTAAAAACATTTGGTAATGTGTTGAAGTATGTCACATCATAAAAGAAGAGCCTGCAATGCATTATATTGGTTTTGTTTCTGCCTTCATTTTCCAGGGAGTAAATAAACCAAGACTTTTATACACATTACTAAATTTCTAATTATACCTTGGGAAAGAATAACCTTTGAGAGGACATAGTTATCTCCCCTTGTCTAAGACTAAAAGACATTGGTTTAGTCACTGATTTCATGAGATTTCTAAAGACTCTTTAAATTAAAAAAAATATGTAAGACACAGGGAATTTTTAAAATACTGTATTTTATGAGGTTGGGTGCAGTGGCTCATGCCTGTAATCCCAGCACTTTGGGATGCTGAGGTGGGTGGATCACCTAAGGTCAGGAGTTGGAGACCAGCTTGGCCAATGTGGTGAAACGCCATCTTTACTAAAAATATAAAAATTAGCCAGGTGTGGTGGCGTGCACCTGTAATCCCAGCTACTTGGGAGGCTGAGGCAGGAGAATCACTTGAATCACTTGAACCCAGGAGGCAGAGGTTGCAGTGAGCCAAGATCATGCCACTGCACTCCAGCCTGGGTGACAGAGTGAGATTCTGTCTCAAAAATAAACAAATTAATAAAAATAATAAAATTAAAATATTGTATTTTAGGCCAAGCACAGTGGCTAATGCCTGTAATTCCAGTACTTTGGGAGGCCAAGGCAGGTGGATCACTTGAGGTCAGGAGCTCAAGATCAGCCTGGCCGACATGACAAAACCCTATCTCTACTAAAAATATAAAAATTGGTTAGGCGCAGTGGCTTATGCCTGTAATCCCAGTACTTTGAGAGGCCGAGGCAGGTGGATCAGGAGGTCAGGCGCAGGCGTTCAAGACCAGCCTGGCCAACATAATGAAATCTCGTCTCTACTAAAAATACAAAAAATTAGCCAGGCGTGGTTGCCTGTGCCTGTAGTCCTAGCTACTCGGGAGGCTGAGGCAGGAGAATCACTTGAACCTGGGAGGCAGAGGCTGCAGTGAGCCGAGATCATGCCACTGCATTCCAGCCTGAGTGACAGTGTGAGACTCTGTCTCAAAAAAAAAAGAAAATTAGCTGGGTGTGGTGGTGCATGCCTGTGGTCCCAGCTACTCGAGAGGCTGAGGCATGAAAATTGCTTGAACCTGGAAGGGAGAGGTTGCAGTGAGCTGAGATAGTGCCACTGCACTTCAGTCTGGGAGACAGAGTGAGACTCTGTCTCAAAAAAAAGATATTTTTTTACTTTAGTTTATTTTGACCTGAGCCACATAGATAATTTCCTGGATTTCTTTCTTTTTCTTTTTTTTTTTTCCCCCTTTTTTGAGACGGGGTCTCACTCTGTCTCCAGGCTGGAGTGCAGTGGTGCGACCTTGACTCCCTGCAACCTCTTCCTCCCGGGTTCAAGCGACTCTTCTGCCTCAGCCTCCCAAGTAGCTGGGACTACAGGCACCCGCCACCACTCCTAGCTAATTTTTGTATTTTTAGTAGAGATGGAGTTTTACCATGTTGGCCAGGATGGTCTCAATCTCTTGACCTCGTGATCTGCCCGCCTCGTCCTCCCAGAGTGCTGGGATTACTGGCGTGAGCCACCGCGCCTGGCCAATTCTCTGGATTTCTAAATAAAACTATAATGTCCTAAACTAGGACACAATATGTCACGTATTGTCTAATCTTATACTAGACAAGTTCGAACTCTGATATGATTCCTTTTCCCGTCCTCATTGCATAGTTTTTCTCCTGAATTTAGCAGTATATAGAAGTCTGATTTGTGGGAGGACAACAGCCTTTTCTTCTGGGTGTAGTGGCTCACGCCTGTAATCCCAGCACTTTGGGAGGCCGAGGCGGGCAGATCACCTGAGGTCTGGAGTTCAAGACCAGCCTGGTCAACATGGTAAAACCCCATCTCTACTAAAAATACAAAAATTGGCTGGGCATGGTGGCACATGCCTGTAATCCCAGCTACTCGGGAGTCTGAGGCAGGAGAATCACTTGAACCTGAGAGGCGGAGGTTTCAGTGAGCTGAGATTATGCCACTGCACTCCAGCCTGGACGACAGAGTGATACACCGTCTCAAAAAAAAAAAAAAAAACAAAACAGAATATGTATCTTTCTATAAGGCTTCTTGTACAATAGCAATGAAGTCAGCTTTGATGAGAATTTATGATTGGTTTATGTTAAAACATGAAACACTTCCCAAATTTGTGTCATCGTTGCCCAGGAGCCATGCTAATCTTCTCTGTATCGTTCCAATTATTTATTTATTCTTAGTATATTGCTGCCAAAGACAGCACGTGATGACAATTTAATGTAATTCACCTAAATACTTCTGTAGTTTTAAAAAGGGCACCGTAAAATTATTCAATATTAAAATATCAAGGAATATCAAACTTTTTTTTTTTTTCTTTTGAGGCAGAGTCTCGCTGTGTGTCTCAGGCTGGAGTGCAGTGGCGCTATCTGGGCTCACTGCAAACTCCGCCTCCCGGGTTCATGCCATTCTCCTGCCTCAGCTTCCCGAGTAGCTGGGACTACAGGCGCCCGCCACCTCGCCCAGCTAATTTTTTTGTATTTTTAGTAGAGACAGGGTTTCACCGTGTTAGCCAGGATGGTCTCAATCTCCTGACCTCGTGATCCACCCGCCTTGGCCTCCCAAAGTGCTGGGATTACAGGCGTGAGCCACTGCACCCGGCCTAGGCTACCTACTTTTCTTTACCCCCAACTATAACCACCATCTGTCATCAAGATTACTGTGAGAACAGGCCAGGCGCGGTGGCTCACACCTCTAATCCCAGTACTTTGGGAGCCCGAGGCGGGTGGATCACCTGAGGTCAGGAATTTGAGACCAGCCTGGCCAACATGGTAAAACCCCATCTCTACTAAAAATATAAAAAAATTAGCTGAGTGTGGTGGTGGGCGCCTGTAATCCCAGCTACTTGGGAGGCTAAGGTAGGAGAATTGCTTGAACCCAGGAAACAGAGGTTGCAGCGAGCCAACACGGTGTCACTGCACTCCAGCCTGGATAACAGAGTGAGACAACGTCTCAAAAAAAAAAAAAAAAGAAAAGATTAGTGTGAGACCACCTTCTATTTGGTCTTTCTGACTCTAGTCACATCTGCTCCCACATGGCCCCCAGAGTGATCTTTATAAAATGCAAATATTATCATGCCACACTCACCTACTTCACTGATATTTTACTGCCCTCAAGCTAAACCTTTTATCGCCTGGCTCCTTCTTTCTCCATCTTTATTATCCCGTGCTGCACCTCCTTTCACTATATGTCAGCTTGCCAAATAACCTGCTTTTCTTCAAATTCTCCTCATTCTAATTCTTTACACAGACTCCCCTATAGCCACCATCTCCACCTGCCTAATTTAAGGTCTGAAGCAGTAATTAGGAATAATTTTATAGCACAAAATGCCCATATTAAAGGAGAAGAAAGATCACGAATCAATGATGTCAACTTTCACTTTAAGAAACTATAAAGAAAACAGTAAATACAACCTAAAATAAGCAGAAGAAAGATAATATAAATTAAAATGGAAACCAATGAAATAGAAAATAGAAAACAATAAGGAAAATCAGTGAAACCAAAAGCTGGTTCTTTGAGAAGACCAATATAATTTATAAACCATTAGCCTGACTCATCATTAAAAAAGAGAGAAGACAAAAATTATCAGTATCAATAATGAGAGGTGACCTCACTACAGACTCTAAAGTTATTTAAAGCATGAGAGAAGAATATTCTCTTAGCACATTCTTGCTGCTATAACAAAATAGACTGGGTTATTTACAAAGAACAGAAATTTATTTCTTACAGTTCTGGAGACTGGGAAGTCCAAGATCAAGGTGCTGGCATTCAGTGTCTGGTGAGGTCCTTCTTGTCATTAATACATCTCCACATGGTAGAAGGCGGAACATGGAAGGGCATGGGGGATGAACGCTGTGTGCTCACATGGTGATGAGAATGAACCCATTCCCTCAAACCCTTTGTAAGGGCCCCAGTTCCATCCATAACGGCTCTACCCTCGTGACTTTATCACCTCCTAAAAGCCCCATCTCTTATTACTACCACATTGGCAATTACGTTTCAACATACAAATTTTGGGAGATATTCAGACCATAGCAAATATCACCAAAAACTGTATGTCAATAAATTTGACAACTTATATGAAATGGACAAATTCCCACCAACTACTGAAACTCACTGAAGAAGAAATAACCTGAATAGCCCTATATCTATTACAGAGATTAAATTTATAGTTGATTGATCTTTGATTTTTTTTTTTTTTTTTGAGATAAGGTCTCGCTTTGTCACCCAGGCTGAATGCAGTGGTGTGACCTCTTCTCTAGTAAGTCTATGCAGAAGCAGAGGAAAATGCATGTTCAAATTGGTCTGTAAACCCAGCATAAT
Source organism: Homo sapiens (assembly GCF_000001405.40). Classification (NCBI taxonomy): domain Eukaryota; kingdom Metazoa; phylum Chordata; class Mammalia; order Primates; family Hominidae; genus Homo; species Homo sapiens. Next base: position 149,030,934 of record NC_000007.14, on the reverse strand, counting down.
AGTGTTAAATCACAGCTCTGGGGATAAACCAGGGAGAAGTTCATTTACATGAATGAATTTCCAAACTAGGGTCCGTTTCTATGATTCTTTTTTTTTTTGAGATGGAGTCTCACTATGTCGCCCAGGCTGGAGTGCAGTGGCGCAATCCCAGCTCACTGCAACCTCCGCTTCCAGGGTTCAAGTGATTCTCCTGCCTCCTCAGCCTCCCAGGTGGCTGGGATTACAGGCACGCGCCACCATGCTCAGCTAATTTTGTATTTTTAGTAGAGACAGGATTTCACCACGTTGGCCAGGCTGATCTGGAACTCCCCACCTCTCATGATCCGCCTGCCTCAGTCTCCCAAAGTGCTGGGATTACAGGAGTGAGCCACTGTGCCCGGCCTCATATCTATGATTTGACAGACAGCCTCTCTACGCTTACAACAACCAACTGTGGAGATCTTGGATATAGTCATGGAAGTATCATTTCTCATCTCTCTCCATTCTGACCCTCAACACAGTGCTGTTTGTACCCATAACAAAATTGAGTGAAAAATTTAGGGATAAAGAGAAAGGAGCTTTCCAACTTGATAAAGTTCTGTTTTGTTGAATGAACTTCTATAGCTATACCCTAAATGCTTTCAAAAAGAACATTGTTACTTTAATGTCACAAGATATATGTGTGTTTATACACATATACAGACAGCACTTCAAGAGCCTTCTTCCTATCTTTGTATCAACAAAAGGCCAGTGAAATTGTGTTTCTCCCACCACTGAGCAAATGGGGTCCTCATTCCTCTCAGTTTAACAGTGTCATAGGAAACAAGAAGAAAGATGAGAACTCTGACTTGTCTTTTTGAAGAACAGGTCTATCTTTAACATGATATTAAGGCTGGGCACGGTGGCTCACACCTGTAATCCCAGCACTTTGGGAGGCCGAGGTGGGTGGATCACTTGAGGTCGGTCAGGAGTTTGAGACCAGCCAGGCCAACGTGGTGAAACCCTGTCTCTACTAAAAATATAAAAATTAGCAGGGAGTGGTGGCGGGCGCCTGTGGTCCCACCTACCCGGGAGGCTGAGACAGTAGAATCACTTGAACCCAGGAGGCGGAGGTTGCAGTGAGAGGAGATGGCGCCACTGCATTCCAGCTTGGGTGACAGAGCAAGACTCTTGTCTCAAAAAATAAAATAACATGATACCGAACTGTCTGGTGGCCCACATTCATAGCACTCTAATAAATCAGTGTGTACAGTTGCATAATGTTCTGCCCTACAAAATTGACCAGGAACCATCAGATTAATAGGCATTCAACAAAAAAATTAAGTATTTTTAATTGCTAAGGTCTGTGAGTTATCCCTTTTTTCTTCCTCACGTAATAATCTGCACACACGAGAAAATATTCCTGAACTTGAGTTTCTATTTTTTTTCTTTTCCCTATTTGCCTTCTCAAACTCCCAGGTGTTAAAAAAAAGTCTCAAACTTAATGCACATTACAGGCTTCTTTTCTGACATACAAAAATCGTCATCTTAACCTAGTTTTCTTCTCCAAAGTGGTCAAGAGGGAAAACCTCAAGCTTTTATTCAGATCTATGTAAACCACTAGATTGCCTATCTGGTATTTCCTTTTGCAGAAAATCACTAGAAAACTAAATAAGACGAGGCAAAGTTTAGACAAGAATCTGATGGCTTGTTTCTCCGAGATGCAACCTTGGAGAGAGGCTTCCCCAGATTCTAGTCTGGATTCACTTTACTGCATGCTCTTCCCCGCTCTCTAGCTCAATACTCCGGAGAGAAATGAAACTTTTATTTGCTCGAGCAGAAAAAGAAATTAAGAAGGCCACGAACATGCAGCGGACTTGGAGCCCCTTTCTAGCAACAAACAGGCTCGTGCTCCTCCGCCCGCGTTGGTCTCCAGCTTCCCAGAGCCCCGGCGGGTTGCGAGGACCGCCCTGCTCGCCACTGCTCCCCACCGCTCCGGTACCGACACGTGTTCTTACTGCCAAGTTCGGCCGCAGGATGCTGAGCCGAGCCCCGCCCCGCTCCACATTTCCCAGGCTCCGCCTCTCCTGCCCCGCCCCCGGCACCGATTGCCAATAGCGCCCCGAGGCGTAGCCAGGTCCCGCACTCCCCGTGCCCGGCCCGCCGCCTTTGTTCTCCCCCGCTCTCCCTCTTGGCCTGTGCGCTCCCGGCAAACCGAGTGGCAGCCGCTGATTGGTGGTTGTGGCGCAGCCAATCAGAAGGGGGCACCTCACGTTAGGGCTCGGAGTTTTAAACGCGCAGCCGAGGGCCGCGCGCAGGAGTAGGGAGGGCCTAGGGCGGCGGAGCCGACTCGTCGCGGCCGAGGCGCGCGCGGTCCGTGCCGGCGTCAGTCTGGGATTGGCCGGCCCGCGACTTCCTCCGCCCCCTGCCAATCGCCGGGGACGACTTCCGTGGGTTTTTCCGGCTCCCCCGCGTCGCTAAGGAGCGACGGGCTGTCGGCCAGACCCCGAGTTCTCGGTGCGCTCAGCGGCCGCCGACGCTAGGAGGCCGCGCTCCGCCCCCGCTACCATGAGGCCCCGGAAAGCCTTCCTGCTCCTGCTGCTCTTGGGGCTGGTGCAGCTGCTGGCCGTGGCGGGTGCCGAGGGCCCGGACGAGGGTGAGCGGCAAGCGCGCCGCGGGTCGGGCTGTGCTTGCGGGGGCTGCAGAGCTGTGCGGGGGCCTGGGCCCTGCGACCCCGGCGGGCGGGCTTCCGCGCGGTCAGCTCCAGAACTAGTGATGGGCGCCGAGCCCGGGGTAAACTTGGCGGAGTTGAAGGGGCGGGGGCGGTGGCTGTGGCAGTGGCAGGATCGATTTGGGGTTCCCGGGAGAGGAAGGTGGCCGGGGTCTCTTGGGCTCCGACGCCCTGGAAGACCCCTGTCACCCGAGGCTGGGAGAGGGCTGCAGAGCGCCTTTTTTGCAGCTGGGTCCTTCGCCTTAATTTACAGATTTTCGTCAGGTCCAGGCTAACTCCAGGCGAACGCGCCCAGGCAGTGGGAAGGGAGAGGGAGAGCCACTGGAGAGAAGGGGCGAGGGCGTGAAGAAACAAGTGCGAGTTCTTTGGAACAGCAAGCATTCCTTTTCAAAATGTGGTCTGTAGATTTGGAAATGATTAATCCATAGATTCTGGAGAAAGGGATGGCTTGGTTTGCACCTTTGAGAAACTAGAGATACCATTCCTTCTGCATTTAGCATTTACTGTGTGCCAGTCCCTGTACTGGGTTCTGGGAGGAAAAGATTGTGAGTGTGGTCCCTGCCCATGAAGCGCGTACTCCAGTAGGAATAGTAACAACTACTTCATGGTCCCTGCATTTTTCTTCGAAGTGAGCTAGCTGCAGACATAAGAACTCTGAAGATTAGGAAGTGCTAATTAAGGAAAAGTTGTTATTCCTAGAGAATAAGGCATCCAGGTACTGGTCTTTACCTTCTTCCTCTCTGCCCTTACTTTTAATCACTAGCTTTTTAACCTTCTGAGTTTGTTCTAATATAAATATACACTCTTTGATAATGTTAGTGTGTAGGGAAATCGTGAACTTTATACTCTTTCAAACAGATTGAGTAACTTCTGCGTGGGTCACTGATTCAAAAAGAGTCTTTGCCCAAATAGAAAAGGAAGTAAAAACCCACACTCGGCGAGAAAAACACCTGCCGAAAGGAATCCGATAGCGGGACTGCTTACAAATTGTGTCTTGAGACCTTTACCCAAATCATGTTTGTTTAAATAGTGTTTATTTAAATACAGATACCCAAAATACACTGAAGCAGAATGCAGGGGTGGGCCCCGGAATCTGCGTTTTAAGTCAGTTTTCCCTTGAGACATAGAATTAACTTCGGGAGGCACAGTGAAAGTTGAGGACCAGTGTGGGTGGAAGATGCTTTTTGGAACATAGCGGAAAAGCATATAGCACTGTCTTGGTTTTGATCCAGTGATTCTGTTTTTGGGGGGATTCTTGAGAGGCCTGGGAGAGTGGCTTTAGGAGCTGTTAGGACCAGCAAGTTTATCCTTCCGGTCAGAGGTCTTTAACACAGAAGAGTCCCTGGGAAGCAGTTGCTCCTAGGGTGAGCCTAGGAATCCCAGGGGTCATCATGGCCAAGGGCAGGCCTCCTGGGACTTCTAGCTCCGTTTTTTTTTTTTTTTTTCCTAGATAAGGTTACGCATTGTTGCCCAGGCTTGAGTGCACTGTCCTGATCATGGCTTACTTAAGCCTCAAACTCCTGGGCTCATGGGATCCTCCTGCCTCAGCCTCCCGAGGAGCTGGGACTGTAGGTGCTTGCCAACACGCCTGGCTGTTTTTTTTTTCTGGCTCTGTCGCCCAGGCTGGAGTGCAGTGACGCGATCTCAGCTCACCACAACCTCTGCTTCCCGAGTTCAAGTGATTCTCCTTTCTCCACCTCCCTAGTAGCTGGGACCACAGGCACGTGCCACCACACCCAGCTAATTTTTTGTATTTTTCAGTAGAGACGGGGTTTCACCGTGTTAACCGGGATGGTCTCGATCTCCTGACCCCGTGATCCGCCTGACTTGGCCTCCCAAAGTGCTGAGATTACAGGAGTGAGCCACCGTGCCCAGCCTGGCTATTTTTTTTCTTTTTTTGGTAGAGATGGGGTCTCACTATGTTGCCCAGGCTGGCCTCAAGCAATCCTCCATCCTTAAACTCCCAGTGTTTGGGATTACTGGCGTGAGCCACGGTGTGGGCTTACCTTGACCCTTTCTCATCCCTGAGGGCATCCCTCGGCCATTCACTGTCAAAACCTGTCATAGATTCACTGATAACTTGTCCAACAGATTTATTTCAAGTCTGCACTACCTCACCCCTCAAGTGTTTCAAGTCTCGAGGCTTTTTTTTTTCTTTTTGCTTCTGTTACATTTTAGATTTAGACAGCACAGTGGTGTCTAGGTACTTAAATGCCCTCCTTCCCCCAACATGGTTACTAAATACACCCTAAGCTCTGATGGTTTAAGCCTCCGGTTGCAGGGCTTTCCGTGTCTCAGAAGGTGCCTGCACTCTACACATCCTTCATGCTAAAACAGGAAAGGAAAATATTCTGATCCTGTTTGTTGCCTGCTTTTATGTGGTATTGGTTTGTTTAGATTTAAAAGTAAGTAGAAATTCACCTATTTTTCGTGCTAAGGAACTGTTAAACTCTCCTCCTCTTTTCATTCCTGAGACATAATTATTTTCGGAGCCATAAAAATGTGGAAACTCTAAATGATTCCACCAAAAACTTTGGGCGTATTGGGAAGAAAATCTAATGTGACAATACAGCATAGCAGTTAAGTGGTCAGGACCCTCCGCTAAGTAGCTTTGTGATCTTTGGACAGGTGACTCAAGTTCCTGCATCTCAGTTTCTTCATCTGTAAGATACAATATAACGTGTAATACAGTCTCCCTTAAGGGGTGAAGTGGTGTGTTTAAGAGCCCAGCACAGTGCCTGGTACATACAATAAATACCAGCTATCATGGTTACCGTAGCTGATAACAGTTCTTGTTTCTGTGTTTAATACAAACTCTTCAGTATTGGCTGAATGGTAGAGTTTATGCAGCTGTTTCAGGCACTTCTCTGGGGGAGATGAGAGTGATCAGCTGAGGACGGAGAGTGAGGACATCCTAAAAGGAGCTGCCTGTGTCTGAGCAGGACCCAGTGTTGTCATCAGGTGTGCCCCGTGGGAGTGGACAGGGATTGAGGCAACCTGCTCAGGTGAGGGTCCCCCACTTCAGGAGAGGCCTTAGCATGTGGGCTGAGCAATGTGGAGATGAACTTGGGAATTCATTTGTCTCATGCTGAGGAAGGTTGCATCTTTTCAGAGGGTGCTGAAAGGCTCTGGACATACATATATATATATATATATATATTTTTTTTTTTTTTTTGAGATGGAGTTTCACTCTTGTTGTCCAGGCTGGAGTGCAATGGCGTCATCTCTCGAGTAGCTGGGATTACAGGCATGTGTCACCACGCCCAGCTAATTTTGTATTTTTAGTAGAGATGGGGTTTCTCCATGTTGGTCAGGCTGGTCTCGAACTCCCGACCTCAGGAGATCCGCTTGCCTCGGCCTCCCAGAGTGTTGGGGTTACAGGCGTGAGCCATCACACCTGGCCTTTTTTTTTTTTTTTTTTTTTTTTTTTTAAATGACAGTCTTGCTCGGTCGCCAGGCTGGAGTGCAGTGGTGCGATCTCAGCTCACTGCAACCTCCACCTCCTGGGTTCAAGCAATTCCCCTGCCTCAGCCTCCCGAGTGGCTGGGATTACAGGTGTGTGCCACCATGCCTGGCTAACTTTTTTCTGTATTTTAGTAGAGACAGGGTTTCACGATGTTGGCCAGGAGGGTCTTAATCTCCTGACCTCGTGATCTGCCCGTCTCAGCCTCCCAGAGGAGCACGTGGATTACAGGCATGAGCCACCATGCCCGGCCCTGGATGTATTTTCTATCCTAGAATGTCCACCTTTAAAAATGAAGCCCAGTGAAAAGTGTTCCCCCACTAAAATGTGGACTGTTTTGCTTGCAGGGATGTGTGGGTTTCTGGTAGATAGAAGGCTAGAGCTAGCACCTTCCCAAATTGCAGAGGAATCAATCCTGGCTTGTCTGTGAGCTGGGGAGGAAATGGAAAGGTAGGGGCCTTGAGAGTCCTTAATTACATAGGGAATGTCCTATCATTTTGTTTATTCTTTAAAAAGATAATGGGATTCTTTTTTGTTGTTGTTAGTCTCGCTTTGTCACGCAGGCTGGGGTGCAATGGTGTGATCTCGGCTCACTGCATCCTCTGCTTCCTGGGTTCAAGCAATTCTCCTGCCTCAGCCTCCCAAGTAGCTAAGATTACAGGCATGCACCAACATGCCCAGCTAATTTTTGTACTTTTAGTAAAGACGGGGTTTTGCCATGTTGGCCAGGCTGGTCTCAAACTCCTGACCTCAGATGATCCACCCTCTTTGGCCTCCCAAAGTGCTGGGATTATAGGCGTGATCCACCATGTCTCGCCAAAATTCATTTTTTTAAAAGGGTCAAGAAAGAAGTTGCCTCTTAGGAATGCTGTGTCCCATGGTGACTAGTCAGCTCCCACTTAATCATGAGAGCTCTGTCACATTGTAATGTTGAGAGCCCACTTGAGGCCGACCATAGGTAAGAAGACGTCTTTGTTTTTTGTAAAATTCACCCTGTAAAGGAGTTGTCTATGTGGTCATGTTTTAGGCCTCTTCGCTGCAAACGTCAGTCTTATGCTGTGCACCGAGCCAATTAGTTTCCCTTCCTCTCCTAGCTGTGATTCCTACCTGGAAGAGTTGATTAAGTTCCCCAGTGCATTATTTCCGACCTTCCTCCAATCTTCCCATCCATCTGCTTGCAAGTAACTTTGACTCCTACTGGGCAGAGCAGCTAGGTAGTGAGAGTGGATATGGATGGTCCCAAAGCACTACTTAACTGCCAGCCGGGGCCCCTGGTGGTCTCCCTCAGGGACCACCCAGGATTTAAAAAAAAATGTCAAAAATCTCGATTACTTTTGCACCAACCCTAATACTTGGGCTTAGTCTTAATGACATCAGCACAAGATGTGTATTTCAGCCTCACACGATTCATTCAAAGACACAGGTAAATACAGTGGGCAAGATTTTCTAAATAGCACAGAGCAGAGGATCTTTTCTTTTTTCTCCCTCTTGGGGGTCTAGAATGATCTGAAAAGGGAGACCAGAAAACCTTGGGAACACTGGGTTTCCCTCTGCTCCACAGGGAGATGTCAGCCTGGCCCCTGCCTGTACTGTCAGACACACGCAGTCCCGAGACCCCAGGGGAGGTGGGCCTGCGCCCAGGCTGTCTTTCTCTGTGTTCTGCCCTCCATGAACTTCTGACAGTGCCTAGGGAGTTCCTGGTGTGGAGGGAGGGGTGGCAGGCAGGAGGCTCATCTCAGATGGGTGGGTTTGCTTTTGGCATTTTAGAGCTCTTTCTCCCTCCTCCGACAAAAGAGGATCCTAAGCCTTAAGTTGAAACAGGAATGTGCAAGTCAGGAAAAGCTGTGGGATGTTTAAAAGGAAGAGGACTGAGTGCGGGTGACTAGTGTGTGCCAGTGGGCTTTCTTGTTGGCTTTTTTGTAAAGTTTGCAGATTGGTACATGTTGACAGTGATGAACAAAGCTGCCCCCTTCTCCCTGCCCGGCACAGACCCAAGGAGTAGGCTGGAGGAGCAGAGGGCAGGCACAGCCATGTGGGGTGGGTGCAGGCTGCCTCCGTGGCTAGGCAGCCACAGAGTCCACGCGGGGTTCCTTCATCAGGGTTGGTGAGCCCCAGGAGTTCTGGGATCCCAGGGGCAGGTTTTCAGACCCTGACCTCATCCACAGCCCAAAACAGTAACTAGCAGCGTTCATTTACCTCCTGGAAAACACATCTCCAGAAAAGAATAATTGGCCCCGGAAACATTCTGGCTTCAGCGTTAATGAAATTGCCGTGCTTGCTGTGCCCAGTTCAGTTTACTGGTGTGACAGTAGCCAGAGAACCTGGTTAATAAAAATGGCAATTCCATGTTCTTTGTATCTGTGGTTTGGCAAAAAAAATAAAATAAAATAAGTTGAACCTTGAAAATAAAATATACACAATTTCTCACATTCTAGGAAGAAAACTTAGCTTCCAAGCAAAGGTGTGATTTTTGATACATGTTGACCCCATCAATTTCTATATTTGTTATCCTGGAAATTACTCAGGGGTGCCTTTATAAGTAAAATGAGATTTCCCGCCCTCTTCCCCTTCACACTTGAGCCTTTTCCTCAAGGATTATAAAACCTGAAGGGCTATTTTTTATGGGTATGAGGTAAAATGCCACCCCCTTTCAGAAATGGAATTAGTATTCCATCCTCTGCAGTGAAAAGATTGAGTACTTGTTTCCTGTTGGTACTCTTTTGGGGCCAGGCAGATAATTTGTTGATGGGAGGTGTTACTGAAGGCCCTGCCTGTGGAAAGCATACAGGGTGAGGAGGAGGCGGCACATCAGTGAGCAATAACGTTGAACACAGACAAGCTAGGGCGAGATCACGAAATGCGGTGCCCTGAAATGCAGAGTGTGGGATGTGGGTAGGGGAGCCCGAGCTACAGGAGCGAGGCCCGGGAAGACCGCAGAGGGTGGTACAAGGAAGTAGGGAGGAGGTGGCCAATGCGGAGGCTGTCTGGGCTCAGGGCAGGGTTTGCAGAGCAAGGCAGGGGGCCGCGACTCTGGAAGGGTAGGGTAGTCTGTGCTGCCCTCCAACTTCCCCTGGGACATTTGGACTTTATATTCTAGAGCTGTGGTTTTCAAATATTATTTAGCCATGACCTCCCTCTGAATGAAATTTTAAGTAGCAAACTTAGAACAGCTGGCATGAGGGAGGCCTGATGTCACCAGCCAATGACGTGGTGGGCCCCCAGGGACCACCCGGGACTTGACACATTCTGAAGTGTATGAATTTTAGGAAAGTTTTTTTTTTTTTTTTTTTTTTTGAGATGAAGTGTCACTCTGTCACCCAGGCTGGAATGCAATGGCGCGATCTCGGCTCACTGTAACCTCCGCCTCCCAGGTTCAAGCGATTCTTCTGCCTCAGCCTCCCGAGTAGCTGGGACTACAGGCGCGTGCCACCATGCCCGGCTAATTTTTGTATTTTTAGTAGAGATTGGGTTTCACCATATTGGCCAGGCTGGTCTTGAACTCCTGACCTCGTGATCCGCCCACCTCAGCCTCCCAAAGTGCTGGGATTACAAGTGTGAGCCACCGCGCCCGGCCAGGAAAGTTTTAAGGAGAGTCACCACCAGCTTTGTAACCAGTCTGGGTGTTTTCCACTCAGATTCTTCTAACAGAGAAAATGCCATTGAGGATGAAGAGGAGGAGGAGGAGGAAGATGATGATGAGGAAGAAGACGACTTGGAAGTTAAGGAAGAAAATGGAGTCTTGGTCCTAAATGATGCAAACTTTGATAATTTTGTGGCTGACAAAGACACAGTGCTGCTGGAGTTTTATGCTCCATGGTAAGGACCGCGTTCTAATTTCTGCAGGTGGACAAGCGCTGTGCTCCATTCGCTCAGCCCTTCACCCGGTCATCCAGACCTTGGGGGGTGGGGTAGGAGTGTCTGGGTGCAGGAACTTGCACTCTAGCTTTAAGAACGCTGGGAGCTCACTCGTTCTACCACTGTGCGTTGAACGGCCAGTGAGCCAGCCCTCATGGAAGGCGATGTCTTCTTGTCTCAGTCCAGTGGGTTAAAGATGAATACGTCCTCTGATGGTCACAGCTGGGGGACGGGCATTTAACAAGCGGCAATGACACAGAGCCCTGTGTTGGTAACAGACACGTCCTTGTTATAGATTCTGCTCCGACCTGTCTCAGGCCACCCTGCCTTCCTCTTCCCTCAAAGGCTGTTGCTCAGGCAGCTGCCCCAAGTGCAGGCTGTTGGCCTGTGTGGTGGATTTTTTACTACACACATAGGCCCTGCGGGGGGACCAGTCAGGCATCCCCACTTCTTTTCCTGTCTTTACTCCTCCTAGTGCAGACCGTTAGAGCTCTTGTGTCCCTCTCATCCCTTCTCCTCTACTGTTTTGAATCTCATGACCCCTGCTTTGCTCTTCTGTCTCATGCCCTTTCTGTTTCACTTCTGAGACCAAATAGGATATACTCACTTTTGTCCAGTGCCTGAGGGTCAAGCGTAGCACAAGTGTTTTATTTAAAACATGGAAATAGGCCGGGCATGGTGGCTCACACCTATAATCCCAGCACTTTGGGAGGCCAAGGCGGGCAGATCACTTGAGACCAGGAGTTTGAGACCAGCCTGGCCAACATGGTGAACCCCCATCTCTACTAAAAATACAAAAATTAGGCATGGTGGTTGGCACGCACCTGTAGTCCCGGCTATTCGGGAGGCTGAGGCAGGAGAATTGCTTCAACCTAGGAGGGGGAGGCTGCAACTAGCTGAAATTGTGCCACTGCACTCCAGCCTGGGCGACAGAGCAAGACTCTATGAGGTTATATTATTCCTCTTTCATAAATTATCAGATTTCATACTTTTTAGTTCAAAGAGACCTTAACATTCTTAAGAAGTGAGGACCTCAGAGGGCTTTTTATATGGGTCATGTTTATCAATATTTACCATATTTGAAGTTAAAACTGAGAAATTAAAAAAAAATTTTTTTGAGACAGATTTTCACTCTTTTGCCCAGGTTGGAATGCAATGGCATGATCTCTGATCACTGCAACCTCCACCTTCTGGGTTCAAGCAATTCTTGTGCCTCAGCCTCCTGAGTAGCTGGGATTACAGGCGCCTGCCACCAAGCCCAGCTAATTTTTGCATTTTCAGTACAGACAGCGTTTCACTATGTTGGCCAGGCTGGTCTTGAACTCCTGATCTCAAGTGATCCGCCCACCTTGGCCTCCCAAAGTATTTTTTGTAAAGATGGAGTTTCGCCATACTGCCCAGGCTGGTCTCAAACTCCTGACCTCAGGTGATACACCTGCCTCAGCCTGCCAAAGTGCTGGGATTACAGGTGTGAGCCACTGCACCCGGCCATGTCAAGCTCTTTTAAACTACATTCGTGAAAGTGCATTTGCCTATTCATGAGGGATCCACCCTTAAGACCTAAACCCTTCCCACTAGGTCCCATCTCCCAACACTGCCACACTGGGGATCAGATTTCAACATTTTGGTGTGGACAAACCACATCCAAACCAAAGTGGTATGTATTATTGTTGGATTTAAATCCCATAGGTACAGTTAACGTTTTTTGCCCTTCCTAATCTAATTGTTAGGTGTGGACATTGCAAGCAGTTTGCTCCGGAATATGAAAAAATTGCCAACATATTAAAGGATAAAGATCCTCCCATTCCTGTTGCCAAGATCGATGCAACCTCAGCGTCTGTGCTGGCCAGCAGGTTTGATGTGAGTGGCTACCCCACCATCAAGATCCTTAAGAAGGGGCAGGCTGTAGACTACGAGGGCTCCAGAACCCAGGAAGGTGAGCTGGTACCTGAGCTCGTAGAGGAAGAACTCCTTCCCGCAGGGAATGGGAATTTGGCTAATAGAGGAAGAAAAGCTGAGGGTACCAGGGACTGACTTTCTCAGGAACCTTAGCCCTCTGGAATGTTTATTTGCTCTTGGGGTGGGGGTGGGGGGGTAGGAGGGGGGAGTAGTGGGGTGGGCAGGGTGGGTTGGGGCGTGGCATCTTTACATTTCAGACTCTGAAACTCAAAACATGGGCAGGAGTGTTAGGAAATGGGCCAGACATGGTGGCTCACACCTGTAACCCCAGCACTTTGGGAGGCCAAGGCAGCTGGATCACTTTAGGTCAGGAGTTCAAGACCAGCCTGACCAACATGGTGAAACCCCATCTCTACTAAAAATACAACAATTAGCTGGGTGTAGTGGCTCATGAGTGTAATCCCAGCTACTTGGGAGGCTGAGGCAGGATAATCGCTTGAACCTACGAAGCGGAGGTTGCGGTGAGCTGAGATTGTGCCACTTCACTCCAGCCTGGGTGACAGAATGAGACTCTGTTTCAAAAAATAAATAAACAGGAGTGTAAGGAAATGACATCAGAGGTCACGGGTCTTGGTGGTGGTCTAGAGCACTGGTTCTTAATGTTTAGCAAGCGTCAGTCATCTGGAGGGCTTGTTCAGCTTGCTGGGCCCCAGCGCCAGAGTTTCTGATTCAGCACATTTCAGGCCAGATACAGTACAAGTCAGGCCAGATAATTTGCATTTCTTTTTTATTTTTTTTTTGAGACTTAGTCTCACTCTGTTGCCCAGGCTGGAGTGCAGTGGCATGATCTCAGCTCACTGCAACCTCCGCCTCCTGGGTTCAAGCGATTCTTCTGCCTCAGGCTCCTGAGTAGCTGGGACTACAGGCGCCTGCCACCACGTCCGGCTAATTTTTTGTATTTTTAGTAGAGACGGGGTTTCACCATGTTAGCCAGGATGGTCTCGATCTCCTGACCTCGTGATCCGCCCGCTTTGGCCTCCTAAAGTGCTGGGATTACAGGCGTGAACCACCACGCCCGCCCAATAATTTGCATTTCTTACAAGCATGCAGGGCTGCTGCATGCTCAAAATTGCTGCTGGCTCAAAGCCATGTGCTGAGAACCACAGGTGCAGAGAGCCACATCCAGGGATTCTCTGAGGATGTCTGCAATCTGGCCTGATGGATCCCTGCCTGGCTCACATTAGACACTACATGCATTTTATTAAATGAATGAACAAATAAATTATTTGATTTTTATTTAATTTTATTTCGATAAAATGTATTTAATTTTATTTTGATAAAATGTATTTTATTTTGATAAAATGTATTTTATTTTGATAAAATGTATTTAATTTTATTTTGATAAAATATTTAATTTTATTTTGATAAAATGTATTTAATTTTTGAGACGGAGTTTTGCTTCTGTGGCCCAGGCTGCAGTACGATGGCGCAATCTCAGCTCACCGCAACCTCCACCTCCCGGATTCAAGTGATTCTCCTGCCTCAGCCTCCAGAGTAGCTGTGATTACAGGGACACACCACCACGCCCGGCTAATTTTTGTATTTTCAGTAGAGACGGGGTTTCTCCATGTTGGTCAGGCTGGTCTCAAACTCCCAACCTCAGGTGATCCGCCCACCTCGGCCTCCCAAAGTGCTGGAATTATAGGCGTGAGCCACTGTGCCCGGCCTCTTATTTTAATAAAATTATTTAATTTTATTGAATGAACATGGTATCCTTTAGCAAGGGCAAATCTCTCTGAATCACTGGCAGAAAAAAAAAAAAAGATGCGGCTGCATTTTCCATTCCCAGTGTGGAGTAGAGGAAAGAGCGTTGAATAGGCTTCCGGTCCTCATAGACATAAGATAGGCCTGTGTTCTGGACGAGCGCCTTGCCCTTGCCAGGCCTTGGCATCTCATCTGTGGAGCATGGTGTCAGTTGGATGTAATCTGAGATCACATCTCTGAGGTGGTGTGAGAGGCTCTCCTCTGCTCCTTTAAGCAATGGCACTCACTGTGGCGTATACAAAGAGAATGGATTTGCTTCCGTTGATATTTAGTGTCACAGTTTGTTGACTAGGTAATACATTTATAAACTTGGTAATTCAGAGAGGTAGATTAATGAATAGTCTTTCTTCCCTGAACCTGGGTGATCCAGCTCCCCTCTAAGAAGGTACTAGTAGGCTGGGCACGGTGGTTCACGCCTGTAATCCCAGCACTTTGGGAGGCCAAGGTCGGTGGATCACGAGGTCAGGAGATCGAGACCATCCTGGCTAACATGGTTAAACCCCATCTCTACTAAAAATATAAAAAATTAGCTGGATGTGGTGGCAGGTGGCTGGTGTGTGGAGGAGGCTGAGGCAGGAGAATGGCGTGAACCCGGGAGGCAGAGGTTGCAGTGAGCCGAGATCGCGCCACTGCACTCCAGCCTGGGCGACAGCGAGACTCTGTCTCAAAAAAAAAAAAGGTACTAGTGTAACAGGTTTCTTCTGTGTTTGGAGATATTTTGTATGCATAAAAGCAGGTGTGTGTGTGTATCTGTCTGAGAGAGATTTTCTCATTTTTACAGTTATTAGTATATGTCAAATACTATCCTGTACCTTCATGTTTTTATTTAACAGATATGTCTTAGCCATATCCATACATAAAGAACTTAATCTAAAACAAATTGAAAGTTGAGTACTTCTTTATTTTAGATGGAGTCTTCCTCTGTCTCCCAGGCTGGAGTGTGCAGTGGTGCAATCTTGGCTCACCGAACAGCCTCCACCTCCGGGGTTCAAGTGGGTTCTCCTGCCTCAGCCTCCCGAGTAGCTGGGGTTACAAGCATGTGCCACCACGCCCGGCTAATTTTTGTATTTTTAGTAGAGACAGGGTTTCACCATGTTGGCCAGGCTGGTCTTGAACTCCTGACCACCCATGATCCACCCACCTCGGCCTCCCAAAGTTCTGGGATTACAGGCAAGCCACCACCCCTGGCCTAAAAGTTGAGTACTTCTATTGTTGTGAAGTAAACAGGCATATGCGTTTGGAGGTCTGTGGCCAACATTTGACTGCAAGAGACTTGGCTGTTTTGCAAACTTTAGAGCAGTGTATGCTATGTTTTGATAAAGAGGCCTCCTATGTGTTAAGTGCCTCAGGACCCCTGGGTGTGGTCTGGGGGGCAGGGCACAGACACTTCATGCTGCGAATGCGCAGAGGAGGTGCTTGTGCACGTTTCAGTTTGAAGACTGCAGCTTTGCAGGAGTGGCTGTAGATTTGGCTCCTTGGTAGATTCTGCAGTGGGGAAAAAGAGTGACAGTTTGCAACCACTCGTCCTAAGAACTGCTTGGCACATTTTTTGTACGAATTTATTGTTCCACTCCAGCCCTGGAGTCCATTTCTGGAGAATGAGGCCACAGATGGGCATTTTTTAAAAGCCTTCTCAGGTAATGCCACTGCACCTTGAGCAATGGGAGCTACTGCTCCTCTTTTAAATTTTTCCTTTTTTTTTTTTTTTTTTTGCATACATCTTATGACGTATGTAATATAGTAACATTAGATGTGAATGACTAAATATGTATATATTTTGTATGTGTTCAGGAGATGCCCCACAATGCTATCCATAGGCATATGTAATCAAAACCATTGGGAGTTGGTGAGGGTTTGCGTGGAGTTAGTACCATAGCCTGATGGTAAAGGAAGTCTCAACCATCAGTAAGTCTTAGGCCCTCTGGAGAAGTCTGCAGGCTGTGGAAATGCGATGGACAATTGTTGGGAAATAGCGAACCTTCTGACTCTTGGCTGTGTCCCCAAAACTGCAGAGATGCAGCCAGGTTTCAGGAAATCAGACACCTCCTGTTCTTGTGGGCCCCGACACTTGCTTTCTTCCCCCTCCTCATCTGCTTCTGGAGGGAGGTGAAGTGCCTGCCAGTTTGGGCCTTGTGTGCTCAGTCTTGCTTGGTTTCTTTCAGAAATTGTTGCCAAGGTCAGAGAAGTCTCCCAGCCCGACTGGACGCCTCCACCAGAAGTCACGCTTGTGTTGACCAAAGAGAACTTTGATGAAGTTGTGAATGATGCAGATATCATTCTGGTGGAGTTTTATGCCCCATGGTAAGGTGGTGTCAGGCCCTTTCCATATTCAGTACCCTGGTGGGCACTAGGTGCGGGGTGGCAGGCCCCTGCCCGTGAGGCAGGAACAGCAGAGGAGCAAGGTGGGCACGAGTTGTAGGCCAGGATTGAGGCTCCAGGTCTTCTGGAAGAAGCGTGGATGTAAGAGAGCTGTTGGGGGAGTGAATGTGGAAGGAACTGCCAAGTAGTCCATTCTTGGGTGGGAGAAGGGACCCAAAGGAAAGAAGATGGCAGAAAGAGAGGTGGTCGGAGTGGGAGCAAGTACAGTGGCTGGTCTGAGCTGCCCAGCTTGGGGAACTGAGGTGGCTGCTTCATGGGGAGGGGAGGGGAGGGACGCACAACCAGTTGCGTGGATAAGCTGGCAGCAGTCAGAGTAGAGAGCAGAGCGGAAGAAGACGGCTCTCAAGGGAGAGGGGAGCCTGGCTTCAGGAGAGACCATCTGCCTTCCCAGGAGACGGCCCAGGGTACCATCTGTCTTGGTGATTTTGTGGTGGGTCAGCTGTGGTTCTGGTTCTTGAGCAGTCCTGGTATGTCTGACCATCAGGCCACCAAGAACCGCCTCAGATGGGTGTGTTCTGTAGGGAGTCTGGGAGAGTCAGTAAGCAGAGGAAGCTTTTGGGCCTAGAACCAGCAGGTGGAGGCCATGGCTGATGCACAGGCCGGGGGGTGGGTGGCACCTTCTGCACTGTGGGGTCAGGTTTGGGACCAGGACACCCTTGTTCCAGGCAATGCCTGGATAAGCCCAAACCTGAGGCCACAGATTCTGCAGCAGAAACCTGGGAGTTGCTGGATGTGCAGATGAAAAGTGAAGTCAGGTGGGTGGTTAGAGAAGGAAATGATCTGGGAGAGAAGGAAGGAAGCGTCTGGGACACGTGGGGCACCCTTCTAACCCCCTTGCGATGCTGGAGAGACACAGACCCTTGTTTCGCTATGCATGGGGCCCTGGCCTGATGGGTGGGAGGTGTGAGAGGGAGAGTGGCAGCTGCACATCTAACTGGTGGGTTGCTTTGTGGCTCGCTCAGGAGCCAGGTTGAGCCGACTGCTGCACAGTGCACGCTCAGCGAGTGTAGTGCGATTTCCCTGAAGTGGTTGATGATGCCTCAGAAGATAATTATCCATTTATTCACAAACAGTTTTTTGGTCTTTTGATGTGTTTTTGTGTGTGTGGTGGGAGGTTGTTTGTTTTTTTTGTTTTGTTTTCTTAGGTTTCTTTTGAGATAAGGCCTTGCTTTGTCACCTGGGCTGGAGTACAGTGGCACCATCATAGTTCACTACGCCTTGAACTCCTGGGCTCAATTGTGCTGCCTCAGCCTCCCTAGTAGCTGGGACCACAGGTGTGTGCCACCACGCCCAGCTAATATAAAAAATATTTTTAGAGATGAGGTCTTGCTATGTTGCCCCGGTTGGTCTTGAACTCCTGGCCTCAAGCGACCCTCCCGCCTCAGCTTCTGGAAGCACTGATATTACAGGAATGAACTACTGTGCCAGCCAACAAATGGTTTTGAAGTTGCAAGATGCACCCTTTAATTCATTTGGGTGTCCTAAGGACTTTGACAGGATGGTGTTTTATCTTAACTCAGGACTGAGAGCCTCCTGTGTGCCAGGCCCCAGCTGGGTGTGGGATGTTGGTTCTTTTTTGAGACGGAGTCCTGCTCTGTTGCCCAGGCTGGAGTGCAGTGGTGCGATCTTGGCTCACTGCAACCTCCGCCCCCTGGGTTCAAGCGATACTCCTGTCTCAGCCTCCCGAGTAGCTGGGATTACAGGCGCCCACCACCATGCCCAGCTAGTTTCTGTATTTTTAGTAGAGACGGGGTATTGCCATGTTGGCCAGGCTGGTCTCAAACTCCTGGCCTCAGGTGATCCACCTGCCTCGGCCTCCCAAAGTGCTGCGATTACAGGAGTGAGCCACTGCGCCCGGCCAGTTCTTGTGGGCAATGGGCTGTGTGACGCAATACTGACTCCAAGGGACTCTCCCTCATCTCCTCCCTGGGTGGTCTGTGTCAGTGAGGGTTTGTGACGCTCTTCTGTTCTCCATGCCTCTGTTCTTGTTACCTGGACCTGCCGACCCTCTCTTCGCCCCACCTCCCGTGGGCTCCTGGCTAATTCCTCGCTGTCCCTTGGATCCTAGCTCCACTGCTACTCCTCCTCTGAAGCCATCTATGACTTACATCCTTGCTGGCCCCCAACTCTCCAACCAAGAAAGTCCTCTTGCTCAGGACAGTGTCTCTCTTGGCCTCTCCATGTTTTCCCCTGTGCCGCAGTTACTAATGTCCTGTCTGTGTCCTGTACATGTGTGTACGCATGCTCCACCCCCAGTGTGTGAATGCTGTGGGATGAAGTTTGTGTCTGTCCAGCGGTAGCGCCCTCAACAGCACCTGAGGGCCTGAGGGTCTAGGAGGCATTCGGAGGCTTACTGGGTGTGGCCAGGTTACTAGGGAGCACAGGATGGGTTTCTGCAGCTCATTTAGCTAGAAAGTGAGTCCACACTAGAATGAGCCCCTGACAAACCAGTTTCCTCTTGGCAGGTGTGGACACTGCAAGAAACTTGCCCCCGAGTATGAGAAGGCCGCCAAGGAGCTCAGCAAGCGTTCTCCTCCAATTCCCCTGGCAAAGGTCGACGCCACCGCAGAAACAGACCTGGCCAAGAGGTTTGATGTCTCTGGCTATCCCACCCTGAAAATTTTCCGCAAAGGAAGGCCTTATGACTACAACGGCCCACGAGAAAAATATGGTATGGCCACTCCCTTCTCTCCCACTACAGTGGGGAAGGGAAACTCCCTAACAGGAAGCTGCCATTGAAGGTGCTGGGGGCTGGCAGGCATGGGCCATGGGAAGTGGGCAGTTCTTAGTGCCCCTGCTCAGGCGTGTGCCCTGCTCCCAGGAATCGTTGATTACATGATCGAGCAGTCCGGGCCTCCCTCCAAGGAGATTCTGACCCTGAAGCAGGTCCAGGAGTTCCTGAAGGATGGAGACGATGTCATCATCATCGGGGTCTTTAAGGGGGAGAGTGACCCAGCCTACCAGCAATACCAGGATGCCGGTGAGTTGTGGCCCTCTGGGCTGAACAAAATGTGCGTGCCTTGGGCCGTCTGCGGTTGCCTGGTTTTTCAGAAAGCTCCTGGGACATCCATTAGGGGGTGGTTTGATGAGCCATCTCTGGGAATAAGCTTTCCATTCTGGGGTTGGAGTTGGGGCTGGGGCTGGAGATGGGTCCCCTGTGGCCCTCCTGGCCTCGGTGCAGGGGAGGGGCACAGTCAGACCGGTCCCAGCTCCATGTCTGCCTTCCAGAGCCCGAGGAGGGCAGGTCTTCAGGCCATAAGGTGCCGGCCTCTGAATCAAACCAGCTTTCAAGGCCTGGCTCTTCCAGTTATTATCACTGTGACCACAGGTGGTGACTCAGTTAGCCTAGTGGTCTCTTGCCCAAGGTGGTGGTCTTTTCTGAGAGGTTATTACACTGAGATAATGTAGATGAAGAGCTTAGCAATGTACTTGATAATGCTAAGTGTATTATAAATGCTAGTCTTGCTAGCCTGAGGAGTGAAATGACTGTGAACAGCTGTCAGCAATAGTGTTCTGTTGGGGTAGGGGCAGGCAGCAGTTGCCCCATCCTGAAATCCATCGTCTGCCTTGGTCTGGCTCCTGATGCCTGGGGACAGGTGTACTCAGGGTCCTGGCCATCCTCATTGATGTCTTCTGAGTGCTACCCTCTCCCACTACACCAAAACCAGCTTGGCTAAGTGCTAACTGATTATAATTTTTCAAATGCACAGCTTGCTACTTAGTGCTAATTCTGTGCTTTACAATAACAATTGTGCATAAGTCAAATGCAGATTAATGTATAAAACCAGTAGAGCTAAATTCCCTTCATCTGTTAATTAGGTGGCCTTGTTATTCACGCCTAACTAGTCAGGAAGAAACTTGCAGAAGGAAACCCCAACCCACCCAGGGTTATGGGCAGCAGGGGATTCCGTAGCCCCAAGTCTGACTGCAAGTTACGTGCATTGATGTGCATGCAAATCCCCAGGGAATTTGTTAAAATGCAGGTTCCAGTGCTGTGGGTCCCAGGCAGGCCTGGCACCACATTCCTAGGAGTCAGTCTGTGATTTGGCTTGGGCAGGGTTAGGGCTGCAGATGGGGCAAGAGTCACTGGGCCTGCTTATGAGAGAGGGGTTAGCCCCAGGGACACAAGATGTTCTACAGATAGGTTGGCAGGGCCGGAGCAGAGAGGGCGGCTGGGGGATGAAAGGGTCTGTGGTCCTGGGGTGGGCAGGAGGTGAAGTTCTTGATGCGGGTCTGTCTCTGCCTGAAGCCAACTGACTACAAATCCCCAGGACACCTGGAGGCTTAAAACAGGCGCCATCTAGATAGCTGTAGCCTTATTTATTTATTTTGAGACCGGATCTCACTCTGATTGCCCAGGCTGGACTGCAGTGGTGTGATCTCGACTCACTGCAGCCTTGACCTCCCCAGGCTCAGGTGATTTTTCCACCTCAGCCTCCCAAGTAGCTGGGACTACAGGTGAGCGCCACCACATCCAGCTAATTTTTTTTGTGGAGACAAGATTTTGCCATGTTGCCCAGCTGGTCTTGAACTCCTGGGCTCAAGTGATCCTCCTGCCTCGGCCTCCCACAGTGCTGGGATTACAGACATGAACCACAGCACCCAGCCCGTGTGGCCTTATTTAGTGGATTTTAATGCCTCTGTTTTACAGAGAAGGGCCTGTGGCTCGGAAGGTTAATAACTAACAAGTCTAAAGCTACGCAGTTAGTAGGTCACAAACCTATCATATGAATCTAAGTCCATCTGACTCTGAAAGCCACAGGCTTATCCAGGCTGCCCCCCCATCCCCTGCCCTCCCAAAAACATGGTTTACCATCTCAGCCACATGTGTCCTATAACCCAGCTGAGAGTCACAAACCTCTAGACCAAGAGCCCTTCAAGGGTAGGGTGACACCCAATGTTTAAATCTCAAAATCAGCCCAGGATGAGTTTGGATGCCTTGAGGAGGAGAATGGAGAGGGACTGAAGGTGCATTTACCTGTAGAATCTAGGGTAGGGGTTGACACTGTGGCCCACACACCCATTCTGGCCATAGCCTGTCTTTGCATGTGACATCTCATTGGAACACAGCTTTGTCCACACCCTGTCCAGCTGCTTTCACACTGCAGCAGCAGAGTTAAGCAGCTGGGACAGACCACATGGTCCTTAGAGCCTTAACTACTCACTCTCTAGTCCTTCTCAGAAAGTTTGCCCAGCCCTGTGGTAGGGTGCCCTCAGACCGTGGGGTTTCATCATGCATTTTCACGGATTTAAGTAAAAGTATCTTTAGCCAAAGAACTTCATTCGGAGCTCCAGCCCACAAACAGGCAGCCCACCAACTTGAGGAAGGGAGATTTAAACCTCCACGAAGGGTGCTGGGTGTGAAAACTCCACATAGGGATATAGGACTGTGTGCTGCTCATGTGGGCTCCAGAACATTCCCCCTGCCAAAGAATCAGTGCTGCTTATAGACATCAGTTGACAGCAGCTTCTGGCAAATTAGCTGTTTTTCTGTGAACTTTTCCGGGGTTTTTTTGTTGTTGTTGTTATTTATTTTATCTTTATAGAAATGGGGTCTCACCATGTTGCCCAGGCTGGTCTTAAACTCTTGGGGTTGGCTGAGCACAGTGGCTCATGCCTGTAATCCCAGCACTTGGGGAGGCCAAGACAGGCGGGTCACTTGATGTCAGGAGTTCGAGACCAGCCTGGCCAACATGGTGAAACCCTGTCTCTACTAAAATTACATAACATAGCCAGGCATGATGGCATATGCCTATAGTCCCAGCTACTTGGGAGGCTGAGGCAGGAAGGAGAATTGGCTTGAACTTGGAAAACAGAGACTGCAGTGAGCCGAAATCACGCCACTTCACTCCAGCCTGGGGGACAGAGCAAGACCCCGTCTCAAATAAATAATAAATGAACTAACTCCTGGGCTTAAGCAGTCCTCCTGCCTCAGCCTCACAAAGTGCTGAGATTACAGGCGTGAGCCACTGTGGCCGGCCAGGATTTAGACGTTATACCTTGTACCAAGTTTTTAAAAACGAACCTCCTTTCAAGTGTTTAAGTTATAGGAATTGTCCACACAATTTTTGGTGGTGACTTTTTTTCTTTTCTTTTTCTTTTTTTTTTTTCTTTTTAAAGACAGTCTCACTCTGTCGCCCAGGCTGAAAGTACACAGTGGCGTGATCTCGGCTCACTACAACGTCCACCTCACCTCCCCAGTTCAAGCAATTCTTGCGCCTCAGCCTCCCAAGTAGTTGGGACTACAGGCTTGCATCACCACACCCGGCTAATGTTTGTGTTTTTAGTAGAGACAGGGATTCACCATGTTGGCCAGGCTGGTCTCAAACTCCTAACCTCAAGTGATCCACCTGCCTGGGCTTCCCAAAGTGTGCTGGGATTACAGGCGTGAGCCACCGCGCCCAGCCTACAGTGGTCATTTTCAGAACATTTGCTTTGGCTGATGTGGGTAACGAATTAAATCTCAGACATTTAGGCAATTTTCAAAATTACATCTTATTCTGTTAACGTTTCAGCTAACAACCTGAGAGAAGATTACAAATTTCACCACACTTTCAGCACAGAAATAGCAAAGTTCTTGAAAGTCTCCCAGGGGCAGTTGGTTGTAATGCAGCCTGAGAAATTCCAGTCCAAGTATGAGCCCCGGAGCCACATGATGGACGTCCAGGTAAGCGGGCCCCTCTGCCATGCCAGCCCTGGACACCCCGCAGGCATGAGGACTCTGCTTTGAGCCACCTCTGAGGTTTCAAACGTGGAGGTTTCGCTCTTGTCTGCAGGGTCTGGAACTCCTTTTCCAGCCCGTTCTCCCCACCCCACAGGTTTTCTGCAGGCGGCCTGTGGTCTCTCTTTGCCGGAGGGACAGGGCTGGGGCTCCCGCACACCTGGCAGGTCCTGGGGCTGGGCAGAGCTCCACTTGGTTTTGCCAGAACAGTTGCTGCCACCCTTTGTCCCTCCTGGCAGGCAATCACCAGTCTCCCTCCAGTGCCTGTTCCACTGTGGGTTTGGCCTGGGCCAGCACATGGTGCTCCGTTGAGGCCAAGTCGTGTTTGTTCGGGCAGCTCCAGCTGGGGGCTACAGAGGGACAGCATCCCTGTCTGTTCACCAGAGGGAGCTGTTGACCTTGGTGGGTGGATTTTGCCTTTCTTTCCATTACTGCACCCCTGCACTTCATCCTCCTAGAGTGTGACACACTCAGCCCTAGAGGGGCAGTGGGAGTTCCCAGCCCAAGGGGAACCTGGGGCCAGTTCAGCCTTCTGAGTGCTTTAGAAGGGGCCCTGCACTTCGGTGAGTAGATCTCAGATTTGGAAGGATCTTAGATGTCGAGTTTGAAGCTTTGGTTTAACAGAGATTGGGCTGCAGAGAAGTGAGCTCTACCCCCCACCCCAGACCCCACAGCTCCTGGTGGGAAGCAGAGCTGAGATTGGGGTGAAGGGGCCTTTCCAGGTCCTACTGGCCCATAGTGTCAGGACCCTGGCTGTTTGGGCTGTGGGCTCTCATGGGACCTGGAGCAGGGGGTGTGACAGGACAGGAATCCCGGGGGCCTGCACCAGAACATGGCAGTACCTTGGAGAGAACCACCCTGAATCTTTCTGGTCCCCATGTCCTCTGTTTCCTTCCTCAGTTTTTAGTCCTGTCCCTCTTTCTCAAGGTCTGTGTGTCCATCCCATCTGTTTCTCTGCCAACTTGAAGCTCAGGGCAACTCTCCTCTTCCCTGGACTCATAGTGGCTGCTGCGACCCCTCCCCCCAGCTTCACTTCCTTCCATCCAGAGATAAGATCCTGGGCCCAAAGAGGGGTCCTGATGAGCTTGGGGGGCCATTGATCCCGAGAATCGGACACAGCTCTGTGTGTGAGTGCATATTCCAGGAAAGGGGTCTGTAGCTTTCAGTAGACGCTTCAAGATCTATGCAGTCTTGTCTGTTGGGCACATTGCTGCTGCTCCCAGTTCTTCTGGCGTTTCCCTGCTGAGTGAAGTGCACGCAGCGCCATGTCATGGTTAAAGACTCCACGGCCTCCTGCCACCTGGGAGATAGTTGGATTATCTGTGCCTTAGCATGGCCTCCCAGGCCCTCCTTACCCACCTTTTCAGCACATCCCACCCTCCAGTGCTGTCACGCCAGATCCTGTTTGTGCCTCGTGCCCTGCCTCAGTCTCTGCTGCCTCCCTGAGTGCCTTCTGCTCCCTTCTCACCAGCGGGGCCCTCTTGTCCTTCAGTGCCACACAAGGACCCCTCCCTGAGTATCCCATCCCCACGGAAACCCTTGGGCTCACAGGCCCACCCACCACTTGCTGGCTGCGCAGCCTTGGGCAGGTGGCTGACCTTGCTCTGCCCACCCCTGGAGGGCGATGTCTGTGAGGGACTCCAGTCGTTGTGAAGTGTGAGCCCTCAGGACCTCCTGCGTGAAGACCGCACAAGCTGAAGGTGGAAAGTTCCACACAGCCCAGCCCGTGATAACCCTTCCTGTCTGCCAAGAGCCAGGCCTACCTTGAGTGGTCTCTTTGTGGGGTTAGTGAGCCTACACCCCCAAGGAAAGGGCCAAGGTGTTTGCCTTTTCCCAAGAAGCCACCTACGGTTCACTGGAGGGAAAGGAGCCCCAAAAGACGGTAGGGAATGACTGGGCTGTGCTTGAGTGGGGTCGAGCCCTGGGGTGTTTTGCCTCCTAAGACTGATCCCCTTCAAAGTCGCCACTCCCCCAAAGTCCCTCAAACATTGTACTCAAGAACAATGGTGGGGAGATGGTGGGCCCCCTCACCTGTTCCCTCTTTGAAGCAGGGCTCCACCCAGGACTCGGCCATCAAGGACTTCGTGCTGAAGTACGCCCTGCCCCTGGTTGGCCACCGCAAGGTGTCAAACGATGCTAAGCGCTACACCAGGCGCCCCCTGGTGGTCGTCTACTACAGTGTGGACTTCAGCTTTGATTACAGAGCTGGTGAGGGACCCCCACCAAGACCTGCGGGGGTGGGGGGTGGGGGGACTCGTTCTTTCAGGCAAGGTGGAGTGTTGAGGGGAGGTGTGGCTGTATGTACATGGCTCACTCAGAAATCCCAGCCTGGGGCCCTTGCACGTTGGTGGCTCAGGTATATTTTTTAATTGATGGCTTCCCTTTTTAGCAGGATGGGAGCTTAGATTCAGGTGCAGAACCCTCTTAGAGTTGACGTAGCTGAGACTTGGAGGAGTTCAGAGGCTGCAGAGCTGGGACTAGACCAGCCCTGGCCCCAGGCAGGCGTGGCCGTGCCACCTGGGCACAGGTCTTAAGGGCCTGTTGGGCTTGCAGCTGTGGCCCCCGTGACAAGTGGGGCTTTTCCAGAAACATGTTTCCCTCCAATTGAGGTAAATCCAGGGTTTGAGCATTGTCAGAATATTAGCGACAGGACCTGAAGCCTGACCTCAGAGTCTGAGCTGGGACTTGCTCTGTGTGGCCGCCTGGCTTATGGCCCTTGGTCCCTTTCAGCAACTCAGTTTTGGCGGAGCAAAGTCCTAGAGGTGGCCAAGGACTTCCCTGAGTACACCTTTGCCATTGCGGACGAAGAGGACTATGCTGGGGAGGTGAAGGACCTGGGGCTCAGCGAGAGTGGGGAGGATGTCAATGCCGCCATCCTGGACGAGAGTGGGAAGAAGTTCGCCATGGAGCCAGAGGAGTTTGACTCTGACACCCTCCGCGAGTTTGTCACTGCTTTCAAAAAAGGTGAGCCCGTGGCTGGGGCTGGGGTCTCCCATCAGCTGCTGTGCTCCTCGTGCGGAATCCAGACAGGCCAGGGGCGTCTGGTGCTCTGGCCACGGGCACGACACCCCCTTAAGTCAGCCAGCAGTCCTCTCTCACCCCCGAGGGACTCTGACTTCTCGTCCAGAGAAATGTCGGGTGTGACCCCAAACTCCAAGGCACCAGAATAGCTTAGAAGAAGGATTTGCAAGTGTTACTATTTTCTTCTTGGCAGTTCTCCCAGTGTTTACTTTGAAAGCAAAAGCAAGATTCGGAGTCCATCTCAGGGCTTACCTAGCATCACTCAGCGGCCTTAGCACATTTCCAGCGCTGATGTGCTAAAATTCCAGACTAGGGCCGGGGTGTGCAGAGGGGGCATCTGAAGATGGAGCCCAGACAGGGCAAAGTCTGGGTGTGCTGAACACCCCTTGTGGCTTCAGAGCCTGACTCAGAGCCTCTTCACCCTCGGCCACCTTGCTGTACAGCTTTAAACAGAGCCTGTTGATCTTGGCTGAGCACATGGCCCCAGGCCCCCAGCGCTGGCCACATTTTGTGGGCAGGCCATGCTGTTCCGATGTCTGTGGGTTGTCCTGGCACCTCCCCCCCATGGCTCCCGGGCCCTCAGTGCCAGTGCTTACGGGAACTCCTCTGCCTGGGCAGTGACTCTTGTGATGGCCTCTCTGACAGGACCCGATGGCCCATTAGGTCTGGGCTGGAGCCACCTGCAACCTCTCTGGCCTTTGCAAGGACAGAGAGTAGAGAGTAGCAGCTACTACTTTCTACAGTAGTGGGCTCTTCCTGTGTGACTGGCCCGTCTGGTGGCCACACCAACCTCACTGCCTGGTCCAGAGAGAGCCCCCAGAATCTTTGGCCTTTGCAGCACTGACGCCCCCTCCCGCCTTGC
Organism: Homo sapiens; assembly: GCF_000001405.40. Taxonomy (NCBI): domain Eukaryota; kingdom Metazoa; phylum Chordata; class Mammalia; order Primates; family Hominidae; genus Homo; species Homo sapiens. The sequence continues at coordinate 149,004,221 of NC_000007.14, read as the reverse complement.
TTTCCTTGGCAGGAAAACTGAAGCCAGTCATCAAATCCCAGCCAGTGCCCAAGAACAACAAGGGACCCGTCAAGGTCGTGGTGGGAAAGACCTTTGACTCCATTGTGATGGACCCCAAGAAGGACGTCCTCATCGAGTTCTACGCGCCATGGTGCGGGCACTGCAAGCAGCTAGAGCCCGTGTACAACAGCCTGGCCAAGAAGTACAAGGGCCAAAAGGGCCTGGTCATCGCCAAGATGGACGCCACTGCCAACGACGTCCCCAGCGACCGCTATAAGGTGGAGGGCTTCCCCACCATCTACTTCGCCCCCAGTGGGGACAAAAAGAACCCAGTTAAATTTGAGGGTGGAGACAGAGATCTGGAGCATTTGAGCAAGTTTATAGAAG